>NC_000017.11:4278989-4430504 GCF_000001405.40 Homo sapiens
CATGGCCAGCCACAGTGGCTCATGCCTGTCATCCCAGCACTGTGAGAGGCCAAGGCAGGTGGATCACTTGAGGTCAGGAGTTCGAGGCCAGCCTGACCAACATGGTGAAATCCCATCTCTACTAAAAAATACAAAATAAGCCAGGAGTGGTGGCACACACCTGTAATCCCAGCTACTTGGGAGGCTGAGGCAGGATAATTGCTTGAACCTGGGAGGCGGAGGTTGCAGTGAGCTGAGATCACGCCATTGCACTCCAGCCTGGGCAATGAGAGTGAAACTCCATCTCAAAAAAAAAAAAAAAAATGCCCAAAACAGATCAACACGTACTGGCTGATGTGTTGGAAATCTGATTGTAGAACATAACAGGCACTGTGTACCAGTGGTGAAAGCAAGGACTTGTCAATAAATGGTACAGTCAACAGTTACACATCAGGGGAAAGTGGGGTGAGTGAAGTTCAACCTCTACCTCATACCATACACAAAAATCAATTTCAATGGATTCAACACAAATATGAAAAGCGAAACAAAACAGATTTTTGGTGGTTAAAAAAGAACAGGCTCTCTAGCCAAGAAACGAAAAGTAAAATCCATAAAGGAAAAGACTAATCAATTCACCTGCATTAAAATTAAGAACCTCAGGCCAGGTGCGGTGGCTCATGCCCGTAATCCCAGCACTCTGGGACGCTGAGGCACTAGAACTGCTTGAACCCAGGAGACGGAGATTGCAGTGAGCCGAGATTGCACCACTGCAATCCAGCCCGAGCGACACAGCGAAACTCTGCCCCCAAAAAAAAGTTATATATATATATATATATATATATATATATATATATATATATATATGAACCTCAGTTTGTCCAAAGGATACCACAAAGAAAATAAAAGGACAAGTACACAAATCAACAAACTGAAAAAGTAATCTAAAAACCTGAACACGCAATTCACAGAGAAAACCTCAATGGTCAAACACATGAAACGATATGCAATTTCACTGGTAACTAGGGCAATTCATATTAAGTCCACAATATCCAGATTTAGATAGATAGACTTTTTTTTTTTTTTTTGAGATGAAGTCTCACTCTGTAGCCCAGGCTAGAGTGCAGTGGCGTGATCTCGGCTCATCGCAGCCTCCGCCTCCTGGGTTCAAGTGATTCTCCTGCCTCAGCTTCCAGAGTAGCTAGGATTACAGGTGTGCACCACTGCACATGGCTAATTTTTTGTATATCTGGTAGAGACGAGGTTTCACCATGTTGGCCAGGCTGGTCTTGAACTCCCATCATCAGGTAATCCACCTGCCTCAGCTCCCACAAGTGCTAGGATTACAAGTGTGAGCCGCGGCACCTGGGCTTTTTTTTTTTTTTTTTTTTTTTTTTTTGAGATGGAGTCTCGCTCTGTTGCCCAGGCTGGAGTGCAATGATGCAATCTCAGCTCACTGCAACCTCCGCCTCCTGGGTTCAAGTGATTCTCCCATCTCAGCCTCCTGAGTAGCTGGGACTATAGGAGTGCACCACTACACCTTGGTAATTTTTATATTTTTTGGTAGAGATGGGGTTTCAGCCACATGGACCAGGCTGGTCTTGTAAGTGATCTGCCCATCTCAACCTCCCAAAATGCTGGGTTACAGGCATGAGCCACCATGCCCGGCTGGGAATCTTTTTTTTTTTTGGAACGGAGTTTTGTTCTTGTTGCACAGGCTGGAGTGCAGTGGTGTGATCTCGGCTCACCGCAACCTCCGCCTCCCGGGTTCAAGCGATTCTCCTGCCTCAGCCTCCTAACTGGGACAACAGGCGCACGCCACTGTGCCTGGCTAATTTTTTATATTTTTAGTAGAGATGGGGTTTCACCATATTGGCCAGGCTGGTCTTGAACTCCTGACCTTGTGATCCACCCGCCTCGGCCTCCCAAAGTGCTGGGATTACAGGTGTGAGCCACCGCACCTGGCCACAAAGGGGATCTTTATCCTTGCCAATGGGACTATGAAAAGAAGGAACACTTTAGAAAACAATTTGGCATTATCTACTCAAAATGAAATACGCGTACCCTTGATTTAAGAATTCCACCCCAAGTATATACCCTAGAGAACCTCTTACAGTACATGCAAATCAGGAAACAAGGATAGCCACCCTCTATAACAGAAAAAGAACAAACACCCCTACACCAATTCAGAAAATAACTGCAATGAGAATAAGGAGTAGAGCGGTAATTTACCCAGTGTAATAGCACACAGGTGAAATGTACCTATTTGCAACACAGATCAATTTGAAGAATATTGAGCAATAAAAGTAACAGAAGAATGCATTCATTATCATTCCACATATAAACAGTTCAAAATCATGAAATACATTGTTTAAACATGCAAATTTGGTAAAATTATGAAGAAAAGCAATAGTAAACCCAGAGTTAGGAATATGAGAAAGGGACAGAAGAAAGCAGCGGAGTGTAGGGGACAGAAGATAATGGTAATGTTCATTTTCTTAAAATAGGTAGACTCAAGATGTGCCATGGATTGTGATTTTTCAGACAGTGTATTTCGGTTTCTCCCTCAACCCCCACAAATCAATAGGTCTTTTATTGAGTAATTTAAATATCACGAATAGGTCTTACGAATCATCTGGCATCTTGTTTCTGTAGCTGGACAACTCTTAGACTTTATTCACCAACTTGCAGAACTATTCCGTTTTCAGAGACATAGATATTCAATAACAATTTTCTGCTATGTTTTTAACTGTTGCAGCTTGCTGAATCAAAGCAGCTGAATTTGAAACCAGCTCAATGTTGTATCCTTTGGTGCTCTACACCTTCAGAAAACTTCTATAGTAACAAACTATAGAAATGATCCCTGAAAGGATAGTCTTCACTTCAGTTTCTATCATTTCAATATTTAATTTTAAAAGAAGAGACCAAATAACCCACATGTGAGCAATTAATCTATATTATTTCCTCTTCTAAGGTGGATGGGTGCCTTCCATCTTTGACTCCTTTCTAGACCTAACATAAAACTGTGGACAGATGTTATACAATAAAAGGGAAGTTTTTAACTACTGGCCCTATCTGTAAAGACCAAGGAGATAGAAGACCAACTTTTTGTTTGTTTGTTTTTTGTTTTTTTCTGAGATAGAGTCTTGCTCTGTTGTCCAGGCTGTAGTGCCACGGTGCAATCTTGGCTCACTGCAACCTCCGTCTCCCAGGTTCAAGCGATTCTCCTCCCTCAACCTCCTGAGTAGCTGGGATTACAGGCACACGCCACCAGGCCTGGCTAATTTTTGTATTTTTAGTAGAGGGGAGGTTTCACCATGTTGTCCAGGCTAGTCTCAAACCCCTGATCTCAGGTGTTCCACCCGCCTCGGCTTCCCAAAGTGCTGGGATTACAGGCATGAGCCACCACGCCTGGCCAGAAGACCAACCTTAAAGGAATAGGTAGATGACTAATAGTCTTGCCTATACCCTACATAATACAGTATATGAAGATACATTAGTGCCCAAGTGATCAGGATGCTAGATCAAAAAGTCAAACAAAGAAACTAAACTGAAATAACAACCTTATCATTAGAAACTTTACCATCAGTGAAAAGAAACAGACCAGCATACTAACCATATGAATGCAGAATATCTAGTCAAAAACAGCTGGGTGTCTTAGGAGAAAAGCAAGCAGATTATACAGTAGTTTTGAGAACGAGACTACAGGATAATACCATTAAAAAATGAAGTCAATGAAAAAATGTAATTCAAATACCCAAATCACACAATTTCCAAAAACTAATAGGATACTTACAAAAAAACAAAAGTATGATATTTAAAATAAACTTACCCTGAAATAAGTGAAGTTACTAGCTGCTAAATAAATGTCACTCAAAAGCAGTCTCTTGGCTTTTTCTTACACAGCGGGCAACTTTTCTTTTAAATTCTCCATTTCTATCTTCCCTCCATTCTTTCTGTAGATTAAAAAAGCAGTATCAAGTGATTTCATGCAAACTCCCCTTTATAATCTCAAATATTTATTTTAATTTTGAATGTAATCCCTTGGTGATTTGTACACTTCAGAAACATTATAGAGTTGAAAAGGTAGAAAGCAGTTAGACATACTTTTTCAAGACACTACCAGGATATACAGGCAGAAATCTCCTATGCAAATTACCTCTACATTAAAAATTATCTTTAAAAAAGAAAAAGGTCACAAAAGAACATTTACAGTTTTGTATTACACTGAAATAGAAAGCTAAAATATACCAATAAGACATTCAGGCCAGGGGCCGTGGCGCACGTCCATAATCCCAGCAAGCTGGGAGGCCGAGGTGGGCGGATCACGAGGTCGGGAGTTTGAGACCAGCCTGACCAATATGGTGAGAATAAAAGTACAAAAATTAGCCAGGCGTGGTGGCACATGCCTGTAATCCCAGCTACTCAGGAGGCTGAGGCAGGAAAATCGCTTGAACTGGGGAAGTGGAGCTTGCTGTGACCTGAGATGGTGCCACTGCACTGCAGCCTGGACGACAGAGCGAGACTCCATCTCAAAAAAAGACATTCAGTTGGTAATCTGAAGGATTACCAACTCTCCCTATTGGAAACAACCAGAAAATAAACATAAAAGTGTCTGCAACATAAGGTAGATAGGTGGGATGCATCATATTGAGATGATACTAAGTACCATTTCTACTGTAGAGGAAAATATATGACAATTATCACTGTCACTGCCTGACATACAAAAATGGAACAGAACAGTGGGGTAATGAAGGGAGGGGAGGGAAAGGGAAGAGCAGGAGAGAGAGGAGTTGGAGGAGAGAGGAAACAAAGGGAAAAGGGTCTATTAAACAGAGGCCTAGAGAAGCTAAAATTTGGAAATGGCAAATCTGAGAAGAGCCTGAATAAAAAGTGGGGCTGAGGCCATGCACAGTGGCTCACGCCTATAATCTCAGCACTTTGGGAGGCCGAGGCAGGACCTCAGGATCACCTGAGGTCAGGACTTCAAGACCAGCCTGGCCAACATGATGAAACCCCATCTCAACTAAAAGATACAAAAATTAGCTGGACGTGGTGGTGCATGCCTGTAGTCCCAGCTACTTGGGAAGCTGAGGTGGGAGAATCGCTTGAACCTGAGAGGCAGACGTTGCAGTGAGGCAATATCGTGACACTGCACTCCAGCCTGAGCGACAGAGCGAGACTCCGTCTCTCAAAAAAAAAAAAAAAAGAGGGCCTGAAAATAGAGATTAATTGAAAGTCTGTATACTCAACATTTTCCCTCACCTATATCCAAAATTTTAACTTTCCCAAAATAATAATATATAAACTTTATATAAATATACTGAAGAATACTATAATTAGAACCGCTAGGCTGGGTGTGGTGGCTCACATCTGTAATCTCAGCACTTTGGGAGGCAGAGGCAGGTGGATCACCTGAGGTCAAGAGTTTAAGACCAGACTGGCCAACATGGTGAAACCCCATCTCTACTAAAAATACAAAAAATTTAGCCAGGCATGGTGGCACGTGCCTATAATCCCTGTTACTCAGGAGGCTGAGGTGAGAGAATCACTTGAACTCGGGAGGCAAAGGTTGCAGTGAGCCGAGATCATGCCACTGCATTCCAGCCTGGGCGACAGAGCGAGAATCTGTCTCAAAAAAAAAACAAAAAATAAATAAAAGAACTGCTAGTGTGGGTATTGGTGCCAAAAACAATTACTCCTTCATTTTGGAATTTAAAAGACACCTCTTCCTCCAACCCTTACCCTTACCTTCAGTTTAGTAGCTTTGTCATCCAAATAGCCATATAGCTTTGAGTGACATAAATACCATTTGTTTTTTTCCCCCCGAGACTGTCATTTCTTTTTCTTTTTCTTTTCTTTTCTTTTCTTTCTTTTTTTTTTTTTTTTTTTTTTTGGAGATAGGGTCTCACTCTGTTGCCTGGGCTGAAGTGCAGTGGTGATCATAGCTCACTGCAGGCTTGAACACCTGGGCTCATGCAATCAATCCCCCACCTCAGCCTCCGAAGCGTCTAGGACAACATGTGCACATCACCACACCCAGCTGATTTTTGTATTTTTTGTAGATGGGGTTTTACCATGTCGCCTAGGCTGGTCTCAAACTCCTAGCCTTAAGTAACTCACCTGCCTCGGCCTCCCAAAGTGCTGGGATTACAGGCGTAAGCCACCATGCCCAGCCTCAAAATAATTTAAAACGAAAATTTCCCAGGGCTGGTATCTTTAAAATTAAAGCAAATTTTAATTTGGCAAATCAAAAAGAGTTCACACAACTCTGTGAAATTTCCAAAGACCAATCATAAAGAAAAGAACCTAAGTACAATGGGGAAAAAAAGAAAAGGAAAAAAGAACAAGTCACCTAAAAATGGAAAAGAATCAGCCTAGTACCAATTTTCACATCAGCAATAAGAAATAGTAAAATATAAATTCTATATAAATTTGATTTTCTCCCTATAATATTAGAAACAAAGTATCAATCAAGTATAAGGGAAAAATAAAAGCACCTTACATCATAAATAGACTAAGGATTTAATTGCCACATACCCTAAAACATTACTCTAGGATGAAGGAAGAAATCAACCAAGAAGAAAAAGAAGAAATGGGATCCATGAAACAAAAGATTCAATTGAGAAGAGCAGTGAAGGGGTAATCTGAGCAAATCAACTAAGCCCCAGGCTGAGAGAGTCAATCAAATCTGGGGCCAAAGCGGCCGGGCGAGGTGGCTCATGCCTGTAATCCCAGCACTTTGGGAGGCCGAGGCAGGCGGATCACGACATCAAGTAATCAAGACCATCCTGGCCAACATGGTGAAACCCCATCTCTACTAAAAATACAAAAAAATAGCTGGGCATGGTGGCACGCACCTGTAGTTCCAACTATTCAGGAGGCTGAGGCAGGAGGATCGCTTGAACTTGGGAGGTGGAGGTTGCAGTGAGCTGAGATTGCACCACTGCACTCCAGCCTGGCGACAGAGCGAGACTACATCTTTAAAAAAAAAAAAAAATTGGAGCCAAAGAAGAAAGGGACCCAGGAGAGAGGTGGCTAAGAAAAATGCGGGTTTCCTGGAATAGGTACTGCAGACTGAGAGGTCAGAAAATCAATACTATGAAAATATGATCAAAGGTGTAATATGAGAGAAGAAAAAGCAAGTAAGAATAGTAAACTGGGCCGGGTGGCTCACACCTGTAATCCCAACACTTTGGGAAGCCGAGGTGAGTGGATCACCTGAGGTCAGGAGTTTGAGACCAGCCTGGCCAACATGGCAAAACCCTGTCTCTACTAAAACTACAAAAATTAGCCAGGCGTGGTGGCAGATGCCTGTAATCCCAGCTACTCGGGAGGCTGAGGCAGGAGAATCACTTGAACCCGGGAGGTGGAGGTTGCAGTGAGCTGAGATTGTGCCACTGCACCCCAGCCTGAGTAACAGAGTGAGACTCTGTCTCAAAAAAAAAAAAAAAAAGAATGGTAAACTGTTTATAAGTCATGGTTTTTGGTTTTAATATGAGACAACTAACTAGTTAAATCAGAAGGAAGAACCAGTGGGATTCAAGAAAAAAAAGGAATAGATTTTGCACAATTTGTGGTATTTGGACTAGAACTCATATTTGCATATTTCAACCTCACATTAAGGCCTATTTCAACACTTAGGAAAATGTTTAGCATCAAGAGAATGACTTTACTCTGGCAGTACATTTGGCTCTTTTTAGATTCAGCTATTTTGAAGGGTTAATAAAGTAATTTTTGCATATTCATGGTCTTGGTTATTGGCTATTAATTTACTCTTCTTTAAGATAAAAGGGCCAGGTGCAGTAGCTCATGCCTGTAATCCCAGCACCTCAGGAGGCCAAGGCGGGCAGATCATTTGAGGTCAGGAGTTTGAGACCAGCCTGGCCAACATGGTGAAACCCCATCTCTACTAAAAACACACAAAAAAATTGCTGGGCGTGGTTCCGCACGTCTGTAATACCAGCTACTTGGGAGGCTAAGGCAGGAGAATCGATTGAACACAGAGGGCAGAGGTTGTGGTTGCAGTGAGGTGAGATCACGCCACTGCACTCCAGCCTGGGCATCAGAGCAAGACTCTGTCTCAAAAATAAATAAATACATACATAAAATAAAAAGGGCAACTTGTCAGCTCTGATTTTTTTTTTTTTTTTTTTTAGATGGAGTCTTGCACTGTTACCCTGGCTGGAGTGCAGAGGCGCAATCTGGGCTCACTGCAAGCACTGCCTCCCAGGTTCAAACAATTCTCCGTGCCTCAGTCTCCCAAGCAGCTGGGATTACAGGCGCCTGCCACCACGCCTGGCTAATTTTTTTGTATTTTTAGTTAAGACGGGGTTTCACTTTGGCCAGGCTGGTCTCGAACTCCTGACCTTGTGATCTGCCCACCTCGGCCTCCCAAACGGCTGGGATTACAGGTGTGAGCCACCACGCCTGGCCAACTCTGATCTTATTATTAAAATTGCTGATAGTTGAGCATGAACCATATAAACATTCATCAGGTCTCTCTCAAAATGATTTCCTAGGATTTCTTTTAATGCAGCTATCACCCCTTCTCCCTTATCATGTCTTACATTGTTTAGACTAATACTTGATTAAATAGATAGTTTTCTGCCAGTTTTTAGTTCAATTCTATTATTAATTTCAGTCATAGCTTTCAAAGGGAGTTATCTATAGTGTCTCAGTCTGTATATAAGATTCCACCCAAGTTGTTATTAACCTAAGAAAAAAGGTAAATTTTATGCCCTGGCTTTGGTATATAGTACTAACAAAGGTTCTAAGAATAAGAAAAAAAGGCTTTTCAAAGAAGGAGAGAAGGCTAAGGAACTAGGAACTATTCTAGATTAAAGCCGACTAATAAAACTTGAATACAAATAAAACAGAGGTTCCTAGACTAGCCTCTGGATTTAAAAAGAAAAAAAAAACTGCAGGATAGGGGCGTGGCAGCTATAAAGAATACTGGACAATCCAATCCAATGTGAATATAGATTATATATGCATAAACAATAATAGTACTACATTAACGACAGACTTGTACTGTGTATATGGAAAGACAGCCTTGTTCTTAGGGAACAGATCCTGAAACATTTTGGGGTGAAGGGTTATGGTATCTATAAACTACTCTCAAACTGTTTAGGAAAAAAAGTTGCAAAATTTCTACAACTGGTGAACCTAGGTGAAAGGTATGCTGGTGTTCATTTAACTAATACATTTTTTTCTATAGATGTGAAACTTTTGAAAATTGAAAACTTGGGGATAATAATATGAACTTCAGACCAGGCATTAAATTGTCTTAGGTATGACAATCGCTTTTGTTTTTAGAGTCCAGATCTCGGCTCACTGCAACCTCTGCCTCCCAGGTTGAAGTGATTCTCCTGCCTCAGCCTCCCGAGTAGCTGGGACTATAGGCGCCCGCCACCACGCCCGGCTAATTTTTCGTATTTTTAATGGAGACGGGGTTTCACCGTGTTAGCCAGGATGGTCTCAATCTCCTGACCTCGTGATCCACCCGCCTCGGCCTCCCAAAGTGCTGGGATTACAGTTGTGAGCCACCGTGCCCAGCCCCGATTCCTTACTTTTTATCTTTTGTGTTAACTACTGTAGGACTTTGCTCTGTGGTTAAAATGAGGCTTACAAAAAAATTTCACAGTTACGACAAGCCATTTTAAGCTGATAAAAATCTGATTGCATTGAAAAACTACACTTCTGCTCTGCCCATTCCACCCCCAATTCTAAATTTGGTGTCACAGTTTACATCCTAATAACGACGTATAGTATTCTTGAAAACTGCTGAGAGGAGAATTTAAGTGTTCTCACAATAAAATTAGTAAGTATGTGAGGTAATGCATATGTGAATTAGCTCAAATTAGCCATTCCACAACATATCCATATTTCAAAACAACATGTTGTATACAATAAATATGCACTTTTGGTCAGGCATGGTGGCTCACACATGTAATCGGAACAATTTGGGAAGCCAAGGCTGGAGGACCACTTGGGCCCAGGAGTTTGAGGTTGCAGTGACCTATGATTGTGCCACTGCACTCCAGCCTAGGTGACAGAGAGACCCTGTCTCAAAAAAAATAAAATAAATACGTAAATAAATATATTTATTTTGTCAAAAATAAGAACTATGGGAAGAGATACACACACACACACACACACACACGCATGCATACATTCATGCATACTTACATACATACTAACTATAGTTCAGGTTTTATTACAAGGGAAAGTGAAGGGAAGGGAAGACGTGTGACCACCTTACCGCAGCATCAACATTAGCAGGTGAGTCTCCATTAGGGTCTGCCAGCATAGAAATGACACTAATCATGATGGTTTCCACAGTGTGGATAGGGAGCCAGCGTTCCTCTGGCTTTTCATAACCATACTTATCTTCCCCAGGCTCATGAAGAATAGAAATGCACACATCACCATTTTTATCAACTGCAAAATTCAAGAAGAGGCTTGTTTCATATATTACTAATTTGGTTATACATGAAATATCAATTACAAATGTGATCCTGATTCACACAGTACCTTTATCAAACATGACACATACGCAGAAGTTAATGTCCAAAATGCAATGTGTTGACTTTTTAAGAAGACTATAGTATAGATTGTACTACATACACAGGATCCATCTGACAAACCCAATAGGAATACAAGCTATCTTTTTCATTTATGTAAAACATGAAGATATCTAGCACGTAGATGGTGCCTAACATTTACATGTCTTAAGTATAATATAATAAATGAATAAATAGCAACTATTGGATGTGTTCTTCATTTGCAGAAAGCATATTTTTCCAAAAACTAGCAACTGAGTTTCTATGTAATGGCCTCCTAGTTTCCCCACTAACTTACCGACTTAAATTGGTAATAGTCAAAGGCCCAGAGACTATTCCTAAGAAATATATTTTTACAATCATATAAAGCCAAAATTGTATTTTCTGAGAAAGGAGTATATTCAAATTCACAAAACAAACATGCCATACTGCCAATGAAAACTCATCAACATATACGACACTCAAGAGGCCTCCTTTCTATAAACACATTTAATAAGAAAACATCCTTATTTTTAGGAGACATGTATTGACATAACTATTTAAGCAGTTTAGCAAAAAAGTAAAATATTACTTATTCATTAAAAAAAGGTCCTAATCCACTAATTCATTTATACATCATATAAATAATCCCTATTGTGAAACTAATCTTTTATGGTAACATTTACCCACCGTAAATTTTTTTAAAAATCATACTTTGAGGAAGAAATTTTAGAAAGGAATTTGAGTAGTGACAATGTTTATGTATATTTCATTCCTAACTTATCCTATATAGTCTAACAAATTTGTGAATAAATATAATGCTAAATCTTATTTTTCGTTTCATAACATCAGTATTTCTGCTGTTATGAACTCTGGGTAATCAGAATCAAAGTTTGTATCTACCAATCAATATCATTGCTCTCTTAATTCAACAAATTCTTATTTTTTGGTGTTGTCTGTTGTTGCTGTTTTGGTTTTTTGAGACAGGGCCTCACTTTGTCACCCAGGCTGGAGTGTAGTGGTATGATCACAGCTCTATGCAGCCTTGACCTCCCAGGCTCAAACGATCCTCCTGCCTCAGCCCTCCAAGTAGCTGGGACCATGGGCACATGGCATGATGCCTGGCTAACCTGACTTTTTTTTTTTTTTTGGTAGAGATGGGGGTCTCACTATGTTGCCCAGGCTGGTCTCAAACTCCTGGGCTCTAGTGATCCTCCCACCTCAGCCTCCCAAGTAGTTGGGACCATAGGCACATGGCACCATTCCTGGCTTTTTTTTTTTTTTTTTTTGGTAGAGATATAGTCTTACTATATTGCCCAGGCTGGTCCCAAACTGGGATTACAGGAAACAGCCCCTGCGCTGGCCGACAAATACTTTTTCAATGCCTACTGCATGCCAGGCACACATCTGACAGAGAAGTACAGCAGTGAATATATGACAGGCAAGGCCCGTGCCTTCAATGTTTTATGTATGAGGTTTTCTATAATTAAGGTTCCTCTTCCCAACCCATCCCTATCTGCTAGTAAAATCTATTTACTAAAATAGAATCAGGGCCAGAATAACACCGAGGGCCGGGCGTGGTGGCTCACGCCTGTAATCCCAACAGTTTGGGAGGCCGAGGAGGGCAGATCACCTGCGGTCAGGAGTTTGAGGCCAGCCTGGCCAACATGGAGAAATCCCATCTCTACTAAAAATACAAAATTAGCTGGCTGTTGTGGCACATGCCTGTAATCCCAGCTACTTGGGAGGCTGGGGCAGGAGAATTGCTTGAAGCCGGGAGGCAGAGGTTGCCATGAGCCAACATCACACCACTGCAGTCTAGCCTGGGCAACGGGCGAAACTCCATCTCAAAAAAAAAAAAAAAAAAGGAATAACATCAAAACTTGTAACACTACAAAATTCAGCATAAAAATTTCATAGAGTATTACTATTTTACAATGTTTTCTGTACTTACTGTGTAATAAGGATTTTTTCCAAGTCATTTTTCTTTAAAAACATGCTATTAAATATGTGTACAGAATTCTACCACCACTATATAAGATCCATTTTCCTTTTTAAAAAAAATCAAGTTATCACTAATCCAGGATCTTTACATTTTTAACCTTCTCATGTCATTTTAAACATACCATTTATTTTAGAATGAGAAGATTTTTAGGCTTAATACCTATTATCAAACCATATTTTAAAGGATTGTATCAATTTATACTGCCATCAGCAATCTGAGATGGCCATTTCATTGCCTCCTCAGGATGAACATTTTCCTTTATTGATGCTGTTTAAATTTCATATATAACATCTGGTTTAATTCACTTTTCTAAATGCTTTTGGGGTGACAACTTTCCATGGATATAACCTGTATGTCCTTCCTCTTTTGTGAAATGTCTGTTCTTATCCTTTAGCCAGTTATGTACTTAATGTTTACTTTCCTCTTGCCACGGTGTTTCTTAGTTTTCCCCATATAATTTTTGCTTGTTACTTTTTTCTTTCATTTCAGTGTTCATTAGAGATGAAACTAAGCTACCTGGGCCGGGCACAGTGGCTCGGCCCACTGTAATGTATGGCTGGCCTGTAATCCCAGCACTTTGGGAGGCTGAGGCGGGCGGATCACCTGAGGTCGAGACCAGCCTGGCCAACATGGTGAACCCATCTCTAATAAAAATACAAGAATTAGCCGGGCTTGGTGGCACGCACCTGTAATCCCAGCTACTCGGGAGGCTGAGGCAGGTGAATTGCTTGAACCTGGGAGGCGGAGGTTGCAGTGAGCCACTGCACTCCAGCCTGGGCGACAGAGTGAGACTCTGTCTCAAAAAAAAAAAAAAAAAAACCCAAACCAAAACCAAACAAACAAAACTAAGCTGCCTAAACAATGCATATACTTCTAGCTACCTCCTTTTTCTTGAGGCCATGCACCTAAAATTCTGAAAAACTGATTTACCCTCATCTTCTCTATTTACTTACTACTCAGGTATTCCTTTATTCTCCTAGAAACTGGCTTCTCCCTAGCAGGATGCTACAACTGTGTCCACAAGTGGTCTGGATAGCATATTTATTCTCCTGGGTACTTTCAGCTACCTGAAGTCACCCCTCTGGGCCAAGACAACTAATACTGTGACAACACTTTGCTGGATACATTTTCCTCCCCTGGCATCTGTGGTACTCTTGTTTTCCCCTGGTTCTTGAACATTCTCTCAGTCACTTTCTAGTTTTCATTTTCCTTAATTTGACTTTTGATGTTATCCTAATCTCCAACATTAACTATATTTTCCGTAGGAAAACTAACCCATTCATTATCATGTTATCTATCATCCTGATACAGTAACTTCCAAGGCCCTTAAGCTCATTGCTGAACCCTGGACTGGTTTAACTAATTATCTAACTGGGTGTAGCAAGTATACCTCAAGAAAAGCTGAATATATGTAAGGTCAGTCACATAAAACTATTCCCCTATAATAATTTTATAACATCTCTATAACTCACCTACTATACAATTCACCTATTTGAAAAGCACGATTTAATGGTTTCTGTCTAGTATGTCTACAGAGTTGTACAATCAATACCACAATCAATTTTAGAGTATTTTTTCACCCTACAATGAAACGCAGTACCAGTTAGCAACCATTCCTCAATCCCCCCCACCTCCCCTCCAGCAGTAGGGAACCACTAACCTACTTTCGGTCTCTATGGATTTGTCTATTCTTGACATTTCATATAAAGGGAATCGTACACTATGTCACCTTTTACGACTGACTTTGTTCACTTAATATAATGTTTCCAAGGTTCATCTATGTTGTAGCAAGTATCACTACTTCATTTCTTTCTTTTCTTTAGAAAACAATATCATGTAATTCATTTCTTTTTATTGCCAAATAATATTCCGTTATATGGGTCCACATTTTGTTTTTCTATTTATCAGCTGATAGACATTTGGGCTGTTTCTACTTTTTGGCTGTTATGAATAATAAATGCTGCTGTGAACACTCGTGTTCGAGTTTTTCTGGACATGTGTTTCAGTTTTCTTGGTTAGGTTCCTAGGATGGAAGTGCAGGGTCCTATGGTAACTATGCTTAACCTTTTGAGGACTGCCAGGCTCTTCTCCAAACACCCGCACCATTTACCTTCTTGCCAGTAGTGCATGGGAGTTCTAATTTCTCTACTTCCTCATTGACATTTGTTATTATCTTTTTGATTATAGGAATCCTAGTGGGTAAAAAGTGGTATTTCATTATGGTTTTCACTCTATAATTATTTTTGTAAATGGCCAGTCAATCCTAAACTCTTACTTCTCCTTTACCATTCACCTCTGGCAGTCAAGTCAAAGAAACTAAATTACCCTTCCTGCAACACTATTCTTAGTTCAAGTTTTTATTGTTTTTTACTCAAATTATTGCTAAAATGCTCTACCTCCCTGCTATCTCTCTGACTTCCCCTTCCAATCTTCTATGAGTGTAATCTTTCAAGAAGGAAAATATAAGAGAAACCTATTACATAGCTTTTTTATTTTTTGTCATTTTCTCTTTTTGTCATGACAATATGTACAGCTTTAAATGTCATGAATTAAATGAGTCCTCACAGCCTAAAGAATGAAGTTCAAGCCAAGCATCATCTTCATTCAAAATTCCATCTAAGACCAGGCGCGTGGCTCACGCCTATAATCCCAGCACTTTGGGAGGCTGAGGCAGACAGATCACATGAGGTCAGGAGTTCAAGACCAGCCTGTCCAACATGGTGAAACCCCGACTCTACTAAAAATACAAAAATTAGCCAGGCGTGGTAGTGGACACCTGTAATCCCAGCTACTCAGGAGGCTGAGGCAAGAGAATCGTTTGAACCCAGGAGGCAGAGGTTGCAGTGAGCCAAGATAGTCCCACTGCATTCCAGCCTGGGCGAGACAGTGAGACTCCGTCTCAAAAAAAAAAAAAAAAAAAAAAAAAGAAAGAAACGAAAAGAAAAGAAAAGAAAAAAAAGTCTCTTCAACCTTAAAACAAAACACACCACCATTTTATCAGCTGTCCTCTTAAACTACCTAGGTGATTGCTCTCTTTCTTTTTACCAGAAGGGAAGTCTCCCATGTATTTGCTTACATGTATGTTTTCATCTAATTTTCACAGATAGAAAACATAGGCCTGGCGTGGTAGCTAATGCCTGTAATCCCAGTACTTTGGGAGGACAAAGTGGGCAGATCACTTGTGCCCAGGAGTTCAGGACCTGCCTGGCCAACAACATGGTGAAACCCCGTCTTTACAAAAAAAAACAAAAATTAGCTGGGTGTGGTGGCGTGTCCCTGTCATCCCAGCTACTTGGGAGGATCACTTGAGCCCAGGAGGTCAAGGCTGCAGTGAGCTGTGATCATGCCATTGCACTGCAGCCTGGGTGGCAGAGTGAGACCCTGTCTTAGAAAAAAAGGACGGAATGGGAGAAACGTACGTGAGGGAGGGAGGGAGCGAGAGAGGGAGAGAAGGGGAAAAGGAGGGGCAGAGTGGGGGAAGGAGAGACGGAGGGAGGGAGGAAGGCAAGCTAGCTAGCTTAAGGCTCCAACAGGGTTTGCCTAGAGTTACACAGCTAGTCTGTGGTGAAGCCAACATTCAGAATCTGTTACATCTTCGAAATAGGTGCAAAACGATTGCCTATTATAATCAAGTAATGCAAGTGAAGGTAGAAGAAACTGTCGAAAGCCTAGGAAGAGATAAAAGAAAAGCCAAAGCACAAGAGGCAAGCGTCACCCATTCATGCATGCCCGCATCATGCAGGAATACGGTTAATGCATTCTGCCATCAACTGTTAGAGATATTTTCCTCTTCTTACTGGTAGGAAAAATCACTATCTTTTACGATCACTGCTGCCTTAGATGCAATAAAATACGCTAAGTCCCTTGGCTCCCAGTAGTTCTCCATTTGCCAGTTCCAGTCTCTCCTAATGCCCATCTGGTTTTCAAGCCTTGGCTTCTATTACGTATTCCATATCCTTCCGATAAATCCTTGTTTAACTTCATTCAATCATTCATTCCTGTCTCGCTGATTCCAGCTTAAACTAATCTATATGTTTCTATTCCCTGCACCCAGAAGTCTTGATGATGCGAAGCCAAATGCAAATTAGTATAATAGCCTAAAGAGACAACTCTGATTACATAGTCAAAATAATTAGAAAAGAAATCTCTGCAAGTTCTATCATACAAAACAAAGCCAAAAGTTCAGAGAGACTGTTTTATAAATATAGCTTATCTGGCCTAAACTTTGGGGACTTTATTTTACTTTATAGAGAATTTTTTTTTTAATTTTTAAATAAGACGTAGTTATTGGGGGCTTATATACAGGGGAGAGAGTCCAGTGGCAGCTGGCTAGGCAGGAGAACTGCCACCGTGTGGATTTGAAGTGGTAGCTCTTCTTTAAGTAAAAAAAGTCAATGTCATCACTACGTGCACAGCCATACTAGATGCTTTCCAGGCTTAAAAAATGTAATACGTTGTTTCATATGACACTGCCAGTAATCTTACACCTATGAATACACATAGAAGAGTTGTCCATGGTATAAAAATAATATGAAAAACTATAAGTTACAGAACCAGGTTTCATAATTTCTGTGTTCTTTGTAATAGCCAGTGAATCATCTAATACCTTGATAATTATCCCCTCAATTATAGGAGTTCTATTGATGTTATCCCTCAGTAACCATGCCCTCTGGTTTAAAACACGAGTCTCAAACCAAACTGAAAACTAAGTAAATAAATAAAAAATAACTTTTTCCACATGATCTCTGTTTCTCCTTCTCTTTTTTGGGACACGGTCTCACTCTGCTGCCCAGGCTGGAGTGCAGTGGTGTGATCTTGGCTCACTGCAACCTGCACCTCCCGGGTTCAAGCGATTCTTGTGCCTCAGCCTCCGAAGTAGCTGGGATTACAGGTGTGTGCCACCATGCCTAACTAATTTTTGTATTTTGAGTAGAGATGGGGTTTCACCATGTTTGCCAGGCTGGTCTCCAACTCTTGACCTCAAGTGATCCGCCTGCCTGGCCTGCTGGGATTACAGGTGTGAGCCACTGCACCTGGCCTCTCCTCCTTTTAAAGGTTTTAGTACACAGCCATGTGCACAATGAACAGTACAAAAATGCCAAAGCAATTTCACTGAGAAACAGATCTTTCTTATTGACCTTGAACACTTCAATAACAGGCCATCAAATCTGCAAATGTAAAAGTAAAACTAGATAAACTTACCATTTGGGTGCCAGATTTCTGTAATGAATTTCATTTTAGGAGGTCGGAGGGGATAATCTTTTGGGAAAGTAAGATGAGCCTTAAAAACACCACCTTCACTGGAAAAAAGAACAAAAAGAAGTTCTTGCCTATAAGTTCCTGCTTTTAAGTATAGAAGTGTTAAAACAAATATAAAACAAGGGTGCTAGCACTAACATCAAAAATGAAGTAAACAAATAATCTGGATTCCCACAGGCAGTTACTTTCTCAAATAAGTAGTTTAATAAACTGTCATGGCTATCACATTGATTAAACTTTCAAGAGAGCTGGTAAAATGAAATCATCTGCTAAAAAGACATTCACACCAGATCAGATCAGATCATATTACTGCTATGCTACAAACCCTTCCATCACTTCCCAGTGCACTTAAAACAAAATTCAGAAGGTTTAACATCACCAATTTCTCTATGTTGATTTGAAACTAGCCAGTCGTCTTTCTATTCCTCAAACACATCAAACCCTTTCTCATCTCAAAACTTATGGACATTTTCTTTTTCCTTATCTAGGAATAGATATATTGCCTCCATCTATCCATTTATTCATTTCATCATTTAACAAGTATTTACTCGGCATTTATGTGTCAAACTCCAGGGGTATAGCAGCAAAAAAAATCTCAAGAGTGACTTTCCAGAACAGCACTGTAAAACCAAACTGTAATGCTGGAGATGTTCTGTATTTGTGCTGTCCAATAATGTAGCCACCAACCACTTGAAATATGCCCTGTGACTGCTATTTTAGACAATACACCTCCAGATCACTGACACTTAATCAGCAGTCATTCTTAAGGAATCATCAAAAGAACAATACAATGAGTTGTATACATTAACTAAAACCACAGAGATCAAGTCAGCCTTAAAGGGCAAAAATACTAAATTTCTGTCTTGCGGCCTTGGTACTAAATATTTCCTCTGTTGGAAATACTTTTCTCCCTTTGTCTTCTGATTATCATTCGGTACTCAGCTTAAACGTTACCTCTAGAAAGATTTTATTTGACTAAAATCTAAACTAGCCACCAGGTCCCTTCTAGTACATTGACCTCTTTAAATTTCTTTATTGCAGTACCATTTGCACATCTGATTCTTCTGTTGTTCAATGTGTCCAACCATTAGAATCATGATTGTGGTTGTTTCAGATCAGTGAGAAATGAAATTCTCAGCTCATTAAATGGTTTTCATTCACTGAACAAATATACATTGATTACCCAGTTACTCTAACCATTGGTCTACGTAAAAGGATACAACAGAGAACAAAGCATTAAAGAGCACTGTGGAGCTTATCATTTTAGTGGCAGAAGGAAAATATCTACCAAGAAAAATATCAGTAGTAAGTGTTGTCATGGAATGATATGAGGAATCTATTGTTACATTTTTAAAAGCAGGTATTTCTAAAACAAGCTAATTTGTCTTTAAAGAAAAAGTGGGAGGCCGGACACAGTGGCTCATGCCTGTAATTCTAGCTACTTGAGAGGCTGAGGGGGGAAGGATCCCTTCAGCCCAAGAAGTTGAGGCTTCAGAGAGCTGTGATTGCACCACTGCACTGCACTCCAGCCTGGGAAAAGAAAAAAGAAAAGAAAGGAAAGAACAAGTGAAAAATTGGGGGTGTGTTTGTATACACATAGAAAAATGTCCAGAAACAGGACATCAATACATAACAATAGTTAACTAACAATAGTTAGTGTTACGAGATCTTTTACTCTCTGCTCTTTTTAATATAGCTTGAACTGTTCACAAGCAAGTATGAATTTTTATTGCTTTTTCTGATCATAAGACATGGGGAAGGTGCAGATTAAGTTTAAAAAAAGAGACAGATCATTAACACCAAACATTTCTGAATAATTAGGAAATGCCACAGGACTCAGAGTATAAAGTCAGTGACCTTGATAATACAATTTTTTTAGTAAAAAGCAATAGGAAAAAAAGCTGTAAAGGGTTAAAGAACAGGGTAGTAAAGTACTTAAGCATAATAAACAGGACAATTTATACAAAAAATTTAACAGTTGAAGATAGTAACTAGATGGGGAAACTGTACAAAACAAGCGCTTTAAAAGAGATATTCGAAGAAATGTAGAAATGAAGTAAGGCCCACCATAGCGCCTTACTTTTCACAACTGATGAGGTTATCTATTGAAAGGAAGAAGCATGAGGGCTTGAGGGAATAGAGACTGGAATAGCTGTTGTGAAGAGTGCATTACACCAAAAAGAGTTAAGTCTTTATCTACTGATCCTGTTGCTCTGTGTAAGTTAGTGCCAAAATGGGTCTTAGGATATACTGATTACATGGACTAGTTTTTCAAACAGGGCTGCAAAAGCAATTTAATGAGTCACTATCAAAGTTTTTTTGTTAACAAAAATAGAAAACAGAGTTTATCACAAGTAGTTTCAGTTATATAATCTATGTATGTGTTTTATTCACTAATCTATATATACATATGTATGCACTGCGTCATGATGTAAAGTATTTCTAATTATGGGTTTGAAAGCCACAATTACAGAAAACAGCCAAACATGGTGGCGTGCACCTGTAATCCCAGCTACTTGGGAGGCTGAGGTAGGAGAATTGTTGGAACCTGGGAGGTGGAGGGTGCAGTGAGCCAAGATTGTGCCACTGCACTCCAGCGTGGGTGCCAGAGTGAGACTCTGTCTCAACAACAACAAAAAAAGAGTCAATGTAAAAGGACATCAAAGCCACTGCCACAAAGCCCCTGCACTTGATTCTACTGGCAGCCACTTGCCACTTGATTCCTTGACAACATTAAGTCAGCTTTCCCACGTCACTTACTTTTGATTGGTTACATTCACTAAAAAGCTTCATAATAGCTGACTGGAATCCTCATCATGAAAAACTGACTTAGACCCTCTAAATTGTTTTCAATCTCTAAAATGTCAACCAAATTCAACTAAAAGAGTAGCCCTAAAAATTTAAAGCACACAATTTTCACTCTATCTGAAAATGGCCTTGCCCACTCTGAAGCAACCATAGCATTTCTGAGTTTTTCTCCTATCTGTGGACCCCTCTTCTTCTATTTTACCTGTGGAAATTCTACCTGCCCCTCCCCTCTTTTCCTTTTTTTAGTTTTTTTTTTTTTTTTGGAGATGGAGTCTTGCTCTGTCGCCCAGGCTGGAGTGCAGTGGCGTGATCTCGGCTCACTGCAAGCTCTGCCTCCCGGGTTGAAGAGATTCTCCTGCCTCAGCCTCCCAAGTACCTAGGATTACAAGCGCACACCACCACGTCCCGCTAATTTTTGTATCTTTAGTAGAGACGGGGTTTCACTATGTTGGCCAGGCTGGTCTTGAACTCCTGACCTTCTGAGCCACCGCACCTGGCCTACCTGCTTTTTTTTTTTGATGCTTAACTAACTAGTACCCAACTTGTGCGTGCAAACTTCTACCGAGCAGCCAAGTTAGCAAAGAGAAAGCCCAAAACCCATAGAGTAGAATAACACTGTAGACTACACATTAACATGTCACATATCCACTATTTTTCAAATATAGAAAGATGTGACTGTGGCCAGGCAAGGTGGCTCACGCCTGTAATCCCAGCACTTTGGGAGGCTGAGGCGGGCGGATCACTTGAGGTCAGGAGTTCGAAAACAACCTGACCAATATGGTGAAACGCCGTCTCTACTAAAAATGCAAAAATTAGCCAGGCGTGGTGGCAGGTGCCTGTAATCCCATCTACTCAGGAGGCTGAAGCAGGAGAATGGCTTGAGCCTGGGAGGCAGAGGTTGCAATGAGCCAAGATTGTGCCACTGCACTCCAGCCTGGGCCACAAAGCAAGACTCTGTCTCCAAAAATAATAATAATAAATAAATAAATAAAATAAAATTTAAAAAGGCACCAATTAATTCAAAATATCTTTCATTACATATTATCTTCATCACAGATGCTATAGTATAAGTACTATCATGATATTAAAAAGAGGTATGTAGGCCGGGCACGGTGGCTCACACCTGTAATCCCAGCACTTTGGGAGGCTGAGGCGGGTAGATCATGAGGTCAGGAGTTCAAGACCAGCATGGCCGAGATGGTGAAATCCCATCTCTACTAAAAACTACAAAAATTAGCCAGGCATGGTGACAGGTGCCCATAATCCCAGCTACTCAGGAAGCTGAGGTAGGAGAATCACTTGAACCCAGGCGGCGGAGGTTGCAGTGAGCAACAGAGTCAGACTCTGTTTTCAAACAAAAAAAAAAGAGAGAGAGAGATATGTAACCAGCAGTTTCACATTTGAAAGTGTTTAAAAACCCAGGCCTAGTTCAATTTTTTTCCATGAGGCCTCCATTACTGTTTTTGAGTTAAATTATAAAAATCTTACAAGGATCAAATCCTACCATACTGCCATATTTATTTTATGTAAATAATGTGCTGTATGCTGCCGTCTGCAATTTGCTCAACATTGTTCTATTAATCTATAGTCCTGTTGTAGCTGTCTCTTGTCCATTCATTCTATCCGCCACAGTTCACTATTATTCTATGATAGTCAGAATCACATAGTCATGTGATCACTGACTTGGCTGTGCTCCGTGGGCACTGCTTTTCTGCCAGGTCCTGGAGTTGTCACCCCTTTTGCCTCTCAGCCTCCCACGGGCGCAATGGAGGAGAAGGATGAGAAAGCATGGGTGCTGCTGGCCCTTCTGTGGCCTCCAGTCACCTGGCTATGACTTTTGATGCTGTTATTGATGTGTTTCCTTGGCTTCAGCAGCTATTTTTGCTATAATAATCCTGCTGCCCTTCAGACTCAGGATAAACGGAACAGGCAGGTGAACACCATGAAATTCATGCTGCTATATGCCTGGTATTCTTGGCCCAATGTAGTTTTGTGTTTCTTTGGTGGCTTTTTAAAAGACCGAGTATTTGGAATATGATGGGGCACAATTACTTTTAGCTGTTTTATTTGCACTGGACAGGTTGTTTTGTTCTGGGTGGAATATTTAATGTTTTTTGGCTGATGGAATTTGAAAGACTTGTGTTTGGATTGGTGGGGAGTGCTCAGCAGTTGCCCAGGACATATGCTGTCAGCTGGTTTAAAGACAAAGAATTAAACCTGGTGTCTGGACTCCAACAATTTAGCATGGCTAGAATTGGAAGTACGGTAAACATGAACTTCGTGAGTTGGCTGTATTCTAAGATTGAAGCTTCGTGGGGTTCTGCTGGTCACACAACCCCTGGGGTCACACTTAAGATTGGGGGTATAAAATGTATTCTTTCACTAATCTGTGCCTTCCTTGGCTCTTGCTTACTTAGATGCGAGAGCAGAGAGAATCCTTCATAAAGAACAACAACAACAAAAAAAGGGGGGGGAAGTTTTTACATTAACTGATGTAAAGGATTTCTCCTTACCCCTGTGGCTCATATTTATCATCTGTGTCTGCTATTGTGTTGCCATGTTCCCTTTTATTGGACTTGGGAAAGTTTTCTTTACAGACAAATTTGGATTTTCTTTCCAGGCAGCAAGTGCAATGAACAGTGTTGTATATGTCGTTATCAGCTCCCACACCCCAGTATTTGGGCTCCCAGTGGATGACACGGGGAAGAACAGCATCTGGGTTCTGCGTGTGGTTGCAGCCACTCTTGTGTCCCACATGATGCTGGCCTTTATGATGTGGAGCCCTTGGGTTGCTGTGTCTTCTGGGAATCTCCTATTCATCGCTTGCCTGTGCATTTTGGCCAACAGTGGCATCTGTAGTTCCTGAACATCAACTGGGAACTGCATATGGCTTCACGCACTCCATTCAGAATCTTGGGGTGGCCATCATTTCCATCACTGCTGGGATGGATGATACTGGACACTGGGGGATATTTGTTTTTAGAAGTTTTCTTCATTGCCTGTGATTCTATGTGACTTTTATCTGTGGTCTTACTCTATTTTGTGAATCATGCCCAGGGTGAGAACCTAAATTATTCCACAAGACAAAGGGAAGAAATAAAATTTTCCCATACTTAATAAGTTTAAATGACTGTGTCATGAGAATGGGCTTTTGCACATCACTGGTTTGAAAATCTCCATTTTTAAAAATTTAGAGTTTAGTCATGAGAAAAAAAATAATGGAATGGCAAGTTGTATTTATATCCAAATACACCTATTTCAAAGTGTATTTGTGAGAACTATTTTAGCCTGTGTCTTCTGTATTGTGTGTTGCTGAAGAATTCTACAAAAGGCCAACCAACAATGAAAGGTTTAGAAAACTGCTCTGGAACATCCAGGTGAACTTCAGAAAAGAACAGTGAAAACAGAAAAACACAGGAGCTTCTTTTGAGATTGTCTTCATTAAGTATGTGTCTAAGGGATACAGCCTTTTCTTTATCTTACAGCAGAAAAAAAAAAAATTGTGACAGACATTCCCTTTCCTGGTAGGGGCATAATGCTAGAAGACATGTGAAGATATTTGTATGAAGTCTCTTTCTACTCACAACCAGTAGCTTGGGCTCTACTATGTGGTTATGTGGACTGCTGAGCAGTGACCCTTCTGAGTTGATTTTTCTGTTACTGAGTCCCCTAATCTCTTAGGGACACAAATTATAGTACAAACAGTCTGTACAGTTTTTCATATAGTCTAATTAGTAACTACAAAGTGTCCTTCGAATTATAATTGACATTTACAAAAATAAATAATAAAACTGCAAAAGGGGAAAAAATAATTTTTTTTTTGCTATTATAAGCAATAGAACATGGAACATTTGAAACATTTCCTAAGCATAGGGTTTTTACCCTAGAAATGAAACTGCTAAGACCAAATTTAAGTAATTGTTCAAAGTCACTCAACTAAGAAGAGTGGTAGAGTTAGAGAGCTAACCAAAGGCAGTCCCCAAAGTCCATGTTCTTGAACACTACGTGATAAACCGCATGGCATTACCACTGATCATTCCATTTCCAAGCAATGTAGGCACTAGGTTCATTCCCTCCAGAACTTCATTACAGAAGAGATGGCTTCTGCCTCTATGTCTCACACAGGACTGGAAAATAATTTATAACTGGAATAGAATTTTGCAACTGTAAAAGAATGTAATTCAGAGTTTTGGTTAACTGATTCTTCATTTTCTATATCTACCCAAGGCAATACTACAAAACACATAATCTTAAGATTCTCCAGATTTTTCATATCATTGCCAGTGCTTAAAAACAAAATAAATAAATAAGACATACTCCTTGAACAGACCAGCCACTGGTGATGAAAGGAAAAGAGAGATAAAAGTTATACAGTCATCATTCATTAATAATTTATAAAATGTTATAATGATACAGTGATATCCAGGTTTCTTAGACTTTCTGGTTTTGTTTGTTTGTTTAAGACAGGGTCTAGCTCTGTTGCCCAAGCTAGAGTGCAGTAGCGTAATCTTGGCTCACTGCAGCCTCCACCTCCTGGGCTCAGCCTCCTGACTGCAGGCATGCATCACCATGCTTGACTTATTTTTGTATTTTTTTTTGTAGAGACAGGGTTTTGCCATGTAGCCGAAGCTGGTCTCCAACGTCTGAGCTCAAGCGATCCACCCTTGGCCTCCCAAAGTGTAGGGATTATAGACGTGAGCCACTGTATCCACCCTAAACTTCCGTACTACAAACCTATTGCCACTTCTACCTGAAATTTTAATTTCTGTGGATATGAGTGGTTATCCATACTGTTTGATAATCAGTCTGAAAACAGTTGGTATACCACACCAGTTTCAGAATGTACATTTCATAGAAAGGCCTTAGGGACTACTGCACTGGAAAGACTCATTAATAAAAATAAAAATGTAATGCTATATAAATATGAGTATGACTGAATTAAGACTTGTGGCAACTATAGGAGTCTCAAAGTAATCCTTGAACGGTACCGGTTATCAATCACATAGACTGAAAAGAGAGTGGAGCGCCCTCTAGTGACTACATGAGGGCTAATGATGGCACAGAGAGATAATCACAGCAGCTTTTACAGAATTTTGGTACAGTATTTCTATTATCTAATTATAAAGTGGTGAATTAATCACTTAGGTCTGGGTACCATCTGAGCCTATACTAATTTATTTTCAATCCTATAACACCCCTCCCCCCAGCACAAGCCTCTACTTCCCTTCACAGGCAGTTATTTAAACGTAAGGTGTATATATTCACTTCCAATAGTGCTCTTCAAACAATTCCAAGATGGCCTCTACTCTCTCCATTCCACTGAAATAATTACAAGAACCTCACTACTTTCTGCTAAGAAGTTTTTTAAGAACTTTTTTTTTTTTTTTTTTAGATAGAGTTCTGCTCTTGTTGCCCAGGCTGGAGTGGGTGACACGATCCCGGCTCACTGCAACCTCTGCCTCCTGGATTCAAGCGATTCTCCTGCCTCAGCCTCCCGAGTAGCTGGGATTACAGGCATATGCCACCTCACCTGGCTAAATTTTTTGTATTTTTAGTAGAGACAGGGTTTCTCCATGTTGGTCAGGCTGGTCTCCAACTCTCGACCTCAGGTGATCCTGCCCACCTCGGCCTCGTGAGCCACTACGCCCGGCCGACAACAAATATTTTTTAAGCATTCTATGAAGTACATGGTTCTTGGTAGCATTCTAAAAGGCTTACTTCTAACAAACCTTTCTTCATTCCCCTGTACCTTCCTTTGCCTTTCTCAGGTCCTGCCCTAGGAATATGCTCTCTCTTTCCTGAGCAAAGGCTAGTGATCTCAGGAAGGCACAGTCCAGAAGTGACCACCAGTATTCTCAGCAGCATATACACACTCCAGCAGAGCTGCCAGAAATATTGCTGTGATTCACATCTCAATTCAACAGCCAACACTTTTAAAAATGTACACCAAAGACCAGAGACGGTTTTGTTTTCTTTTTTGAGACGGAGTCTCGCTCTGTCACCAGGCTGGAGTGCAGTAGCGTAATTTTGGCTCACTGCAACCTCCACCTCCCGGATTCAAGCGATTCTCCTGCCTCAGCCTCCTGAGCAGCTGGGACTACAGGCGCCCGCCACCATGCCCAGCTAATTTTTGTATTTTTAGTAGAGACAGGGTTTCACCATGTTGGCCAGGCTGGTCTTGAACTCCTGACCACAGGTGATCCACACGCCTCAGCCTCCCAAAGTGCTGGGATTACAGGCGTGAGCCAACGCACCAAGCCAGCAGATGCATCTTACAAAACAATACATACTAGTAAATTTAAGTTAGTCTGCAAACACTCAGAGCAGAAAAGAAGACTGTGGTCTTTGCATCTAGAAATGTACGACATGAAATATTTTTAAACTCTATTTCTCTTCTTCTACTGCTCTTTCACACCACTACATTGTTGTCTATCCTTAAGCCATTGGTTTAACAATTAATAGTCAGTTAATAGATTATCATAGAGCATAACAATAACTTTCAATAAACTAGGAGAAAGTGACCATTAGTTTAGTTTGGGATAAGAACACCTAGATTCTAACCAGTATTCGGTGGGGACTCAAGTAGAGAACCATGAAAAGAGACGATCTTGAAAGTTCTCCTTAGCCTTCTTAAAACACTGATGTGTGTAATACATTCTCAATTAAAATGTCCAAAAATTATATAACTCTTCTGCCTCCTGAGTTCAAGTGATTCTCCTGCCTCAGCCTCCCGGGTAGCTGGGATTACAGGCATGCCACCATGCCCAGCTAATTTTCGTATTCTTAGTAGAGATGGGGTTTCACCATGTTGGCCAAGCTGGTATCAAACTCCTGACCTCTCAGGTGATCCACCCACCTCAGCCTCCTAAAGTGCTGGGATTGCAGGCATGAGCCACCGCGCCCGGCCTGAAACTATTATTTTTAATAGCAATAGGTCTTAGACATTAGAGCTTCAAGCAAAACACAAAAACTCTTCCATGATCAAATTCAGTACAAAGGATATTGAATACAGCCATTTCTCCTGCTCCTTAAAAAATAATTTCATGTCAGTTTGCCAAAATATTTGTGGTTTTGCTTTGTTTTGTTTTGAGATGGAGTCTCACTCTGTCACCCAGGCTGGAGTGCAATGGCGTGGTCTCAGCTCACTGCAATCTCTGCCTCCTGAGTTCAAGTGATTCTCCTGCCTCAGCCTCCTGAGTAGCTGGGACTACAGGTGCATGCCACCACACCCAGCTAATTTTTGTATTTTTAGTAGAGATGGGGTTTCACTACATTGGCCAGGCTGGTCTCGAACTCCTGACCTCATGATCGGCCCGCCTTGGCCTCCCAAAGTGCTGGGATTACAGGTGTGAGCCACCGTGCCCAGCCTGCCAAAATAGTTTTTAATTCAGTGTATTAAAAGAGCTCCATTTTGAAGATGTCAGTTCCATTATACTTACTAAAGTGTATCTGGAGGGCCAATAATAAGGACTTCCCATCGGTAGAGATCATTGTCATCTATTAAACCTGCAGAAAAGCCTTCCACTGGATTTTTGTTGAGTTCTGTGGAAAAAGAAAAGTTTAATCAATACATTTAAGCACATAATTTGCATCCAGTAGATAAATTACAGAACTTGAGCGTACATGTTTTATGTAAGTTTTAAACCATTAAATAGATATACCTTGCCAGGCAAAATGCTACTTGATGGCCAAAACATTTTCATGCCTATACTGTAAGAAAGCCCTGGGTAAAGCAAACTATCCAGAAGATCAACTTCTACTGGTATCCAGCCAGGCTCTTGTCATTCTAAGTGGCCCTACAGTGGTCTTTTAAGGAAGCTTGTTAAAATGCAGATATCCAGGCCCGTCCCCCAGAGATTCTCATTGAGAGGGAGCCCTGGAAATCAAATCATGTTGGCAATTCTTATGCTGCTGTCTTCAGGGTATACTTTCAGAGTGTCTAATCATACCTTTTCATTGGAATGTACTGCGCTTAATAACTTTCATTTATACTAACATTTGTACACCTATTTGACTTGTCCCTGTAGTCTTGGGGACCTGCTTCTACAGTGGGTGCTCCTGTGTGCCCATCCATCTCTGAGCACAAGGAGAGCAGGGGCCCCATATGTCTTGTCTGTATATGTCGACCCTCTGAGAGCCACAGCTTCTGGGACAGAGGAGCAGCTTAAGAGTAACACCTGGAGCATACAGAATGGCTGCAGCATCGTGAGGTTCTCCTCCTCTAAAGAGAGTGCTGTGGCATGGAGAAAGGATGACAGGGTGGGAAACAAGAGAGGCGAGGAACTGGCAAGGTGGGGGCACACAGGCCAAGACAGGGACCTTAAGGAGCAGGTGAGCAGCGGTACAGAGCCCAGAATGTTTCCAGAGACACCAGACTTAATAAAGTACTGGCCTCCTGATGGTGAGCAGATCATGTGAGAAATTTTTAAACAACTTTAATGAGGTATAACTGACATTCAGTGAACTGCACATACTTAAATTATACAATTTGGCCGGGCGTGGTGGCTCACACCTGTAATCCCAGCACTTTGGGAGGCCGAGGCAGGTGGACCACCTGAGGTCGAGAGTTTGAGACCAGACTGACCAACATGGAGAAACGCCGTCTCTATTAAAAATACAAAATTAGCTGGGCGTAGTGGCACATGCCTGTAATCCCAGTTACTCGGGAGGCTGAGGCAGAAAAACTGATTGAACCCAGGAGGCAGAGGTTGTGGTGAGCCAAGATCGCGCCATTGCACTCCAGCCCGGGCAACAAGGGCAAAACTCTGTCTCAAAAAATATATAAATAAATAAATTAGCTGGGCATGGTGGTGTGTGCCTGTAATCCCAGTTACTCAGAAGGCTAAGGCAGGAGAACTGCTTGAACCCGGGAGGCAAATGTTGCATCAAGCCAAGATCACGCCATTGCACTCCAGCCTGGGTAACAGAGCAAGACTCCATCTCAAAAAGAAAAAAAACACACACACACAATTTAATAAGTACTGATATACACCAGAGGAACCAACACAACAACAATCACAATAGTGAATGCATGTATCAATCACCCACACAATTATCACATTTTACCGGCCAGTGGAACTGAGTACTCATTGGCTCAAATTGGAAAGTGTGGACAAAGAACACACAGGAGTAGAGTGGTTTGAAAAGGACTTGCTGGGAGTCTCAACAGGTGTGTAATTCTCGTATACTACCTGCCATCATTCTCAGGCAGCTTTGTCTAATGATGAAAGGCAGTATAATATAACTCAGAGTGCTACAAAGGACTGAACCAATGTTTAGGTAACTGAGGAGATATTAATTTTTGGGGAAATCAAGAGATGGTATTATTTCAACAACTACGATTTAACAACATGCCAGCAAAATAGGAGAAAGCCAATAGTGAAAATTTATATTTAGGCAGGGCGTGGTGGCTCACACCTGTAATCTCAACGCTTTCAGGAAGCCAAGATGGGTGGATCACTTGAGGTCAGGAGTTCAAGACCAGCCTGGCCAACATGGTGAAACCCTGTCTTTAGTAAAAATACAAAAATTGGCCGGGCATGGAGGCGGACATCTGTAATCCCAGCTACTCAGAAGGCTGAGACAGGAGGATCACTTGAACTGGAAGGCAGAGGCTGCAGTGAGCCAAGACCATGCCACTGTATTCCAGCCTGGGTGACAATGCGAGACTCCGTCTCAAAAATAAAAATAAAAAATTTATGTTTAAACATGAAGTGCTTCTTTTCTTGAAATGTGAGGGGAGATTTTTATAAGTCTAACATTTTTGCATAACAGGCAAACTAGACTTTTACAAATAGTTAAAATCAGCTCTGTATTTCAAAACACAAGAAATGTACTTTTACTTTAAAGTGGCTAATCTAAAATACTTTTTAAAGATATTGAAAGTGCAAACACATTAAGAAGGGAACAGCATTTTCACTGTTATTTTGTTTATGCACGCATATGTGTACTGAGCGCCAACTATGTTGCAGACATTCTATTAAAAAACAGAAAGTCCCACTTTCCTGTCAACTGAGGAACAGAGTGCAGCACACACAAATGCACTGTGAGGAGTTATTTTCTACATGACTGATCTCATTTCCAACCTTTTTCTAGAGAAACACCATTACATTACTCGGACCATTTTCTACAACACTGTACACAAGAGTCTTGTGAAAGATTCTATAATATATCCAGAAATCACCTAGTTGTTGCATTTTCCACCAGAAGTCCAGGGTTTATAAACATAGGTGAGTAAGCTCTGAAATTAGTATACATGGTCAAAATTACCCTTGAAAATTTCCTTACACTTTCCATAAAGCATATCATTGCTTCTTACTCTTGTCAAAACCCCCAAGTTCTTGAAATCTTTTGCCCATTCTTTCCATGCATTTCTTCTACAGGCATAATTGTGTCCTTTGCTTGTTCCATGTAAGTAATACAAAAGCAATGTTGAAAAATGTCCAATGTCTCACTTTTGTCATGGCTTCAGCCCCCAGCATGAATCTTCCTAGGTCTAGATGCATGAATATTTAACAGGCTTAATCCATTTAAAGTGATAGAACCTTACCATGCCTTCATGAATGCTTCCTTCAAGGTCTCTATCAATACTAGCCCCCTCCATGAAGTCTTCCCTAAATAATTTATCAAATAATCTTTTGGCTTCTGCTAAATTCCTATTAATTGTACTTTCAGTCTATCTACATCTTCTGGCACTTGACCAACATCGGCTCCTGATCCCCAGAGAAGTAAACAGGCAATTACAATGTGCTCCAACAACAGTACAAGAATTTGAGGGCACACAAAAAAGAAGGGCACATAACATAATCATGAAGAATAAGAAAAGGCTTCTAAAAAGAAAAGAAATAAAGGATTTGGGTGAGGGAATTCAAGGTTTAGAATCTGAACCCTACTTTAGGTAGAGGAGCATGTACAAAAACTTGAAATAGGGCAATCAGTATGTGACTGGAACGGCGGGGGGCAGGGGAGCAGCTGAAACTAAACAGAATGTCAAAAGCTGGACAGCAAAGGGCCTTTGTAAGCCCTGCATGCTTGGACTTTATCCAGAGGGCAATGATAAGCCTTTGAAGGGTGGTTCTTTTTTTCTTTTTCTTTTAAACAATGGAGTGACCTCATGAGATTTACATTTGCAAAAACCAATCTTGTAGTATGTAGAAGATTGTTTAAAAAGGCATGATGAGAACAAAGAAACAAAAAGCAAGCAATTCAAGTAATCTTGAAAAGTGTACCTCGAGTATATAGTAGTCGAAACAATGAAGAAAACAAGGCTATTTAGAAGAGAATCAATCAACCTAACCTGGTGATGTTAAAGAAGTGGGGCTTAAAGTAGTAAGTCAAAAATGACATGAGCTGGGCATGGTGGCTCACCGCTGTAATCCCAAAACTTTGGGAGGCTGAGGTGGGCAGATCGTTTGAGCCCAGGAGTTTGATGCCAGCCTGGGCAACATGGCAAACCCCTGTCTCTACCAAAAAAAAGAAACAAAAGAGTACAAAAATTAGCCAGGCACAGTGATGTGCACCTACAGTCCCAGCTACTCGGGGAGGCTGAGGTGGGAAGATGACTTGAGCCCAGGAGGCGGAGGTTGCAGTGACCTCAGATGACACCAGGGCACTCCAGCCTGGGCAACAGAGCCAGACCTTGTCTCAGTTTAAAAAATAATTTTTTTTAAAAAAAGTAAAATGACATATGATTAAAAAGTTGAGCAGAGTTACCATATGACCCAGCAATTCCACTTCTAGGTATATACCCTAACATCTGTCCACACAGCAAGTTGTACATGAATGTCTGTAGTAGCATTTGCTGTAATAATCAAAAGGCAGAAACTCAAGTGTCCATCGACAAATGAATAAACTGCAGTATATACATACAATGAAATACTATTCAGCCACAGAAAGAAATGAAGTACTAATATATGAAGCTCAGTAACATCAGGCTAAGTTAAAGAAGCAGACATATAAAGTCACATGTTATATGACTTATTCTATATGATATATCCAGAAGAGGCAAATCCAGAGACAGAAAGTAGATTAGACAATGAGGGAAGGGAGAAAGGGGGCGTAATTACTTAAGGGGTATAGGGATGGCGATTTAATGGTGTGATGAGAACGTCTGAAAGCTAGATCGAGCTGGTGGCTGGCTGCACAACATCGTGAATACACGAAACACCACTGAGTGGTACACTTTAACACCATTACCTATAATGTCAATTCCTCCCTCCCTGTTTTTCTGACACCAGATTTCTGTGCAAGGGTAGAAATCTGTTCATTCACTGAAATGAGAAACATAGGAGGAGGTTTGTCAAGAGAGGGGAGGAAATGGTGATGGGCTTGGTATTAAATGCCTTTTGTTAGGGACAAAAAATACATTGCTTTAAAAAGAAATCTACTGGGCACGGTGGCTCCCGCCTGTAATCCCGACACTTTGGGATGCCAAGGCGGGTGGATCATCTGAGGTGAGGGAGTTCGAGACCAGCCTGGCTAACACAGTGAAACCTCATCTCCACTAAAAATACAAAAATTAGCCGGGTGGTGGTGGGCGCCTGTAGTCCCAGCTACTTGGGAGGCAGGAGAATCGCTTGAACCCAGGAGGCGGAGGTCACCGAGATCATGCCACTGCACTCCAGCCTGGGCAATAGAGTGAAACTCCGACTCAAAAAAAAGAAAGAAAAAAAAATCTGAGCTGACGATAGAGACTTCAGGGTTATCAGAATATGGCTGATCACTGAGGTTGTAAGTTGATGCATCACCCAAGGATAAGCATTAATATAAACTGCAGGGGATGTAACCGAATGAATTCTAGAAAATATTAACAACTGAGAAACAAAAAACAGGAGGCGGCACAAGGTAAACTGAGAAAGGTAAGCCAGTGAAATAGGGAGGCCGAGGCAGGCGGATCACGAGGTCAAGAGATCGAGACCATCCTGGCTAACACGGTGAAACCCCGTCTCTACTAAAAATGCAAAAAATTAGCCGGGCGTGGTGGCGGGCACCTGTAGTCCCAGCTACTCGGGAGGCTGAGGCAGGAAAATGGCGTGAACCTGGGAGGCGGAGCTTGCAATGAGCCGAGATCGCGCCACTGCACTCCAGCCTGGGCGATAGAGCAAGACTCCATCTCAAAAAAAAAAAAAAAAAAAACAAAAGCCAAGAAAACATTTTATTAAAGCTAAAGGAGATGCATTTAAAGGAGAAACTATCCAATGATGATAAACACATACAGCTCAGGGAAGAAGGGGTCTATATTCAGTCCACTGGATTCAATTAAAAAAAAAAGGCCACAGTTGCCCTCGGCATAAGCAGTGTCAGTGTGAAGGTAAGGTGGAATCCATGCAGGCAACGCTGAGTGGACAAAGAGAAGATGAAGTGGAAAAACCCAAGTGGAAATTTTTTCTAAAAGTTTGACGGTAGATGGAAAAGTGTAGTAGTCACGGGTAAATGAAATTCAAGCAAGTTTTATTTTAATGGAAAAGGCTGAAAGATGTTAAAACATCCTATCTGTGTTTAAATGTTGATACGGATACCTCACACTACATCCAAATCCAGACAGATTACAGATATAAACAAAGAGGTATAAAACCTAACTAAAAGAAAACATAGAATAGTGTTTTTTCACATCAATTTGAGTGGAGGTGGTCCTCCTATGCAGGACACAAAACTCAACAGTCAAATAATGCTACACAAAATACTTTAAGGTTAGTACAGCAATAAAGTCTAAATACAAATGACTGGGAAAGAATATTTGCAAAATAGGGAGAAGTTTAAAATTCCTAATACAAACAGAGCTTCTGTAAATCAAAAGGGAAACTAAAACCCAAAAGTGACCATGCTTGACCTTCTACTTATATTCCTAAGGTATTAGGAGTTTTGAGAATGCCAAAGATGAAGATAACATCTTTTCTGAATGCTATCTAGAGATAAAATTAAGAGTTGGAAAGGGCTAGAAAGACCTCTCTTTCTCACAAAAGTCATGACTGCTAAAACACAAAAGTTTATAGTTCTAAAGGAGGCAAAACTAACCAACAGTATTACAAATCAGGACGATAGTATTTCTCTCTCTCTCTCTCTCTGTCTTTTGGAGCAGGAAGTGAGAGTAGTATCTGGGAAGAGGCATGGAACGGACTTCTGGTGTACTGGTAGAGGCATGCCGTCCGTAATATGTGCGTACTTTCCTGTCAATGTTATACTTCAATTTTTAAAACTCAGTAAATCCTGGAGTATCCAGTGACTGTTAAATGGGAGTTATGCTTGCATGCTATGAATCTGGAAATCACTGTGGGCCAGAGTGGTCTACAAGCCATGAATAAAAAGGAAACCCAGGGACAAGGTAGTGTCCTTGAGAGTAATGACTTCTATGTGTTAAGTCATGGAAAATAATGCATGAGCAGACTTGCTAAGATAGAGTCATTACCAAGAATAAGACTAAAAAAGAACAGAAAGAGCATATGAAAAGTAAAAACGCTGCATTTCTGAATCGGAATTAGATGAATATAAAATGACATTGCTTTCAAATATATAGTTCTCAGATCTATCCACTGAAAAGGTCTAGAAAAAATGAACAGCCCAGTAGTGCCCAGAATATGGTTTCTAAATATGAATTTATCACTAAAACGGACCAGGGCTCTTCAGAGAAATGGCTGACTCCAGGTCTAGAGCAAGAAATGTTAGGTTCATCTCACACATAGCAGACAAAAAGGAAGCTATCGAGTAATACTATGGTATTGTGGAAAGGACTCAAGAGCCAGCTTGAAGAGGCCTCCACTGGTCAAATATGGGACAATTTGAGTGTCAATAAAGTTAGTAACAACGAATGCTTGAAATATGCAAGTTTAAATCCATGAGTTTATAACTGTGAAATCAAAAACAAGAAACAAATTTATCACCACTACAGGATGCTGGGAAACCATTTTGTTATTCTGAAAACCAATTTTAAAAAGCAAAAGAATCAACATTTAGTGTGATCCTTTTTTATTACACAAATTATATTGCCAAGTAATCAAAATAGTAATTACTATTTGATCAAATGAGGTTTCTCTCTATAAAAATACTCCAGCTAAAAAATGAAAAATAACTGAAACATTGGCCATTTTATCATTTAATCCAGGCATTTTAAAAGACAACCAGATATTACAGTCTCCTGAAAAATGAACAAACCACCACATATGAAGTAATCTCACCTCACAAACCTAACCTGTTTGAGCCCCTAAGTACAATAACTAATTCACAAAGAACAGAAACAGAGAAACATGTTCAAGGACATCCCTGGGACACAATTAGCAAGATCTACTCTGCAGGATATTCTAAAGAACAAGACCTAGAATCTTCAGCAAATATACTGCAAGGAGCACAAAAGAGAGAAATGAATTCAAACTTTTTTTAAATTTATGACGATTATGACACAAATGAAAATGTGAAGAGTAATGAGACATTAGACAATATCCAGAAATTGTTGTTTCCTTTTTGAGTTTGGCAGTGGTGTTGTGCTGGGGGTTTTCTTACCATTTTTAGAGATACATACTGAAATATTTACAGACAAATGATCATGTTTAGAATGTACTTCACAGTCATTAGGGAGAGGGCTAAGATAGGTGAAACGAGGCTGATCCATGACCTAATCACTTCAGGGGCTGGGGGAGTACATGGAGGCCCATTATACCTATCTGTCTACTTTGGTATTATTGGGCATTTAAAATTTTCCTCAAAAGATTTTTTTAATCTAAAAATAAGTTTAATATAGCCTAAAATAATGTTTTCAGTATTGTCGATCATTATGTAAAAGTAAAACTTCACTGCACCTCAGCAAAATACAAATTCTCAGAATAACATTCCAAGACCCAACTAGACGTCATTTTGTACTTGACTACTAAGAAAATAAGCTACTTTTGGCCGGGCGCTGTGGCTCGCGCCTGTAATCCCAGCACTTTCGGAGGCTGAGACGGGCGGATCATGAGGTCAGGAGATGGAGACCATCTTGGCTAACACCGTGAAACCCCGTCTCTACCAAAAATACAAAAAAATAGCCGGGCGTGGTGGCGGGCGCCTGTAGTCCCAGCTACTCGGGAGGCTGAGGCAGGAGAATGGCGTGAACCCGGGAGGCGGAGCTTGCAGTGAGCCGAGATCGCGCCACTGCACTCCAGCCTGGGCGAAAGAGCGAGACTCCATCTCAAAAAAACAAAAAACAAAAAACAAAAACAAACAAACAAAAAAACAGAAGAAAAGAGGCTCCTTTTTTTTTTTTTTTTTCCTCCCTGAGACGGAGTCTCGCTCTGTAGCCCAGGCTGGAGTGCAGTGGCGCGATCTCAGCTCACTACAAGCTCCACCTCCTGGGTTCACGCCATTCTCCTGCCTCAGCCTCTCCGAGTAGCTGGGACTACAGGCGCCCACCACCACGCCCGGCTAATTTTTTATATATATATGTTTTTAGTAGAGACGGGGTTTCACCGTGGTCTCGATCTCCTGATCTCGTGATCCGCCCACCTCGGCCTCTCAAAGTGCTGGGATTACAAGCGTGAGCCACCGCCTAAGTGTACTTTGCCAAGACCAATTGTTGGCTAAGTCTAACTTCTACAAAGCCAAATACAAACTGAGGTTTACAGCCTAGTAACGATTTTCCTTTGTGTCTGGGTGACTGTGGTCTCCTGCTCCGGGAATGTGAGTTCCTGTCAAGTTTATTTATACAACACAGTTGGCTGCAAGGTATATGTCTGTAAAGTAACTATTTTTACTGCAGCTTCACTTTGAACTTCTGAGATCATAGATAGACAGACCCCTTTACCCAAACAGTACATAATTACTCCTAACTATTGAGATAATTTGTCAAAATAATTTTGACCTTATTATCAGAGGAATAAACTGCTGTTACCTTAAAACATAAAAATGCCACAAACCAAGTCACCAAAAGTAACTGCAAAAACGTTCCCGTCCTTCAACCTTCCATTAATTAATACTGAAAAAAGTCAAGCATAGCAATCACAAAGGTGTATTTCCTCTTTAGATTTCAAGATGCATCAAGTTAATAAATTTTACAAATTTCTGGTAAACTTTAAAAATTTGCTTAAAATTAGAATTTTTTATTTGTACCACGACACGGGCTACCGGCTAGCTGATTTCCTAATCAAAAACATTTTTGGCCAGGCACAGTGGCTCATACCTGTAATCTCAGTGCTTTGGGAGGTCAAGGTGGGAGGATCGCTTAAGGGCAGGAGTTCAAGACCAGCCTAGGCAACAGCAACATAGAGAGACCCAGTCCTAGCTACTGGGGACGCTGAGTCAGGAGGACTGTTTGGGCCCGGAAGTTTGAGGCTGCAGTAACCTAAGAAGGTGCCAATGCACTCCAGCTTGGAGCAAGACCATGTCTCTTGAATAAAAAAAAAAAAAAAAAAAATCAAGGCCAGGCTCGGTGGCCTCTAATCCGAACACTTTGGGAGGCCGAGGCAGGAGGATCGCTTGAACCTAGAAATTTGAGACCAGGCTTGGCACTATAGTGATACCCTGTCCAGGTGTGGTGGCTCACGCCTGTAATCCCAGTACTTTGGAAGGCTGAGGCAGGGAGATAACCTGAGGTCAGGAGTTTAAGACAAGCCTGGCCAGAATGGTGAAACCCCATCTCCACTAAAAATACAAAAATTAGCCAGGCGTGGTAGCGGGTGCCTCTAATCCCAGCTATTCAGGAGGCTGAGGCAGGAGAATCGCTTGAACCTGGGAGAAGGAGGTTGCAATGAGCTGAGATCGTGTCACTGCACTACAGCCTAGGCGACAAGAGCGAGACTTCGTCTCAAAAAGAAAAAAAAAAATTAGCCGGACATGGTGGCATGTGCCTATATAGTCCCAGTTACTCGGAAGGCTGAGGTGGGAGGACTGCTTGAGCCTGGGAAGTAGAAAGTGCAGTGAGCCAAAACCACACCAATGCACTCCAGCCTGGGAAATACAGAGTGAGACCCTGTCTCAAAAAACAACAAAACAAAAAATATTCCACCCAATTTATTTTACTGTGCTTCAAAAACATAAGGAAAATGAAACAGACAAGCCAAACAGATCAGAGATGATCCCTTAAAAAGAATTTGTCAATATGCTTCCCAAAGGGATTTGCTTGGCAGAATTCTGGACCACATTCCTAAAATAACACTTACTGACATTCTGCTACCTGTAATATTTCACCCTGCTTATCACAGCTTCTTCAATCACAGGCGTCAGGGTTCTTCAATATTAAGTCCTAAGTACGTTGTTGCTTGTGCATAAATTATACACAATAGCATAAGCATGCATCTCTGCCAAGATTTGTCGCAGCAGGAACTCCTCACAATACCGAAATTATGCCCTAACACTAGTTTATAGTGTCACACAAACAGCTTACTTTGATCTCGCCTATTTTATAGAAATAAATTTGATAAAGATGATTCCTGAGGATTTCTGAATGTCACTTCACAATGGAAAATTTGGGCACAGCATATGATATTATGTATTACTAGCCTGGGCAACTTAAACAGATCATTTCTATTTTTTGAGTCTCATTTTCCTTATCAGTAAAGGATGGTAAAGCCCTTGGTAACGTTGCAACACGGAGAAGATATTGTATATGCGAAAGTCTGACCCAGCTTAAGGTACAATAAATGTTAGTTGTCCATTTTCTTCCTTTAAAATTGCTCATTAATTAGGCTACAGGACATAAAAGGAATACGTCTGTATTCTTCAGAATCCTGAGAACAAGCCCATACCTGAATTATTTCTTTTGGAAAATACTACCCAGCTTCAAACCTCACGCCCAACTATGTTTCTAGTAGGACTGCCAAACAAGGCCCCCGGTACCCCAAGGCCACAGGAGGGAGTGGTTTTTCAGAGTTGGGAAGCTGTGCCATAAAGGCCTGAGAGCTGCCAATAGCCGCAATTCAAGTCTCAAGGAGAATGAAGCCAAAACGAAGAATAAGCAACAAGAAATCCAAACAGATCTTTGATTTCTTACACCTGGTACTACTCCTGCCCTTCTATAAACTTAGTTAGAAGTCAGTTTTCCTTTTTGTCTAAATTTATTTTAGTTGAATTCCTGTCACTTCCAACTAAGAATGCCACCTTCTTCATGTGTAAAGCCCTATTTTTAAGTTCACATCCCAGTTGGTCCCTAATCAGTTTCCCCTCGAATACACCAGTGGTTCTCAACTGTCCTTTTACCTTCCCCACATTATACGGGGCAAAAAAGTGATTCTCAGGCTGCAGTGAGTCGTAAGCATGCTGCTGCTGAAGGAAGCAAGCACAGTCATGAGATTCTTGAATTTCCAATTCACTTTAAGTTCATTTCAACCACCAAATAATACATATAAAAAACCAGAAAGACTTCAGAAAAACAGTCTCAAAGAAATTACAGAAACATATTTTTAAAGAAGACCAGAAAGAAAACATTATAAAGCAACAGGAGACCTTAAAGGAAAGTGAAAAACAGACTAAAAACAAATCATGGTCATAACTTTCAGAAATCATACTTCTAATGAAAAGATAAATAGTTATTTTTAAAGAGTAAAGATAATAAACAAAGGAGATTTACATAAGTTAAACTGGCATTCCTGAAGAGATCAGAATATTAAAATGTCATAAATCTATAAAGCTTTCTATAATAATAAATATACAGATTGAAAACATATCCCACAACTCAGAAAAAACTGGTACAGAATAAACAATAAAACATCTGTCAAATGAGGCACTGAACTTTAAAGTTAAATAATATCAAGGATATTCAGGAAGGGAAAAAACAAGTCCAGTATAGGTGGGTGGGTGGAACCAACCAGGTTAGCCTCAGATTTCTCCACAATACTCATTGTAGGTAAGTAACAGTGACGTGAAGAAATACGGAATCCTGAAGAAGAATGTGATAAAAAGAATGAGAAATGCAGCCAGGCATGGTGGCTCATGCCTGTAATCTCAGCACTTTGGGAGGCCCAGGCAAGTAGATGCTTGAACCCAGGAGTTCAAGACCAGCCTGGACAACACAGGGAGACACCACCTCTACAAAAAATACAAAAATTAGCTGGACATGGCGGCAAGCGCCTGTGGTGCCAGCCACTCAGGAGGCTAAGGTGGGCAGATCACTTGAGCCCAGGAGGTCGAGGCTGCAGTGAGCTGTAAGCATGCTGCTGCACTCCAGCCTAGGCACCTGTGTCGAAAAAAAAAAAAGAGAGAGAGAGAAGCCCAAACAGGAAGTCCAAATAAGATGGTAATACACATTTACATGTATTGTAAACTTTAAGGACTTAAGAAATGGTACTTTTTGAATTAAATGCTGCGAAATCAATCAAAATAAAGAATTCAGTAACAGAAAAACGCAGGTGAAAGGGACCAGTGTAGTTACCAACCCCATGTAAATGCATAAATAAAACCAAACCACCATGAATGCTATAAGCTTTTATATATATATATTTAATAATATATGCTGTCATTGCCAAGTGGCACACGTGTGTGTGTGTGTGTATTATTTTCTTGTTGCCATTGGTCCTATTTTTACATTATCAGGATTTATATATAAATTTACATTGTCAGGATTTTACATTGTTATTTTCTGTATTGTCGTAATTTTACATTATCAGGATTTCTATGTTAAAAAAGAATAACCAATTACTAAATATATCTATATTTATGATTAGAAAATGGGAAGGGAATGGAGGGAAAGGGAGAGAGGTACTAAGGAATACATATGTGTTTATTCCCTCATCCTGGACATCAGGAAGTCAGTGGGTTCTATCAAGAGTCTCAAAACTATTTAGAGGTTTTTATAGATTTTCTTCTCTCAACTTTAGGACTCTTTTAGAAATTAATCTCTTCTTGCGATAAATGTCTATCTATAGGTCAATAATTTCTTCAATATTACCTTAGCTGGGTTGTCATTCATATGCAACTTGCAACTTAAAGTATATAAATGGCACATCTATTACAACCTCAGATTTCAGCCCGCATGCATGCACTGAAAGGTGGATGCAAGGATGCCCAACGTTGGGAGACATCTGTAGGTGGTGGTTGTTATTACTAAGTAGTAGAATATTTTCAACTTTCTTTTATGTACTTTGATTTTTTAAATTATGAAAAAAGGCCATGTATCCTAAAGTAACATAGGAAAATAAAATAGAAGGCATTAGACACTACCTTCTTGCTCTCCAAAGACAACCACTGCTAACAATTTGCTGTGTATTCTTTCAGACTTAGGCTACACCACCATATACTATACAGAAATGGAATCATCCTTGTATAACTGATGGCCACTTAGCATAGTCTGAACACTAGATAACTCGTTCCCACCACCATACCTCTTTTCGTTTTCCCCCTCAAATATAAATAATGCTGCCTAGGTATGAGCTGAGAGGAGTGAAAAAAACAAAAAGTAAAAAAAAGAAATTATGAATATTTAAAAGTCTTTTTAAAAATAAATAAAAAGAAAAAACAATGCTGCCATTGCCAGGCGGTGTGAACCTGTAGCCCCAACTGTTCTGGGGGATGAAGAGGGAAAATCTCTTGAGCCCAGGAGAGTCTGAGGCTGCAGTGAGCTATGATCGCACCATGGCACTCCAGCCTGAACAATAGAGGAAGACCCCATCTTAAAAAAAAATTAATTTAAAAAGAATACTTTGCACTCTCCTTGTACATCTGTGGAAGTATATCTAGAATATAAACTATAAACTGAACTGTAAGTCAAAGGAACATATATATCAAGCCACAAAATGTTTACTTCAATGTATTATCCCAGAAACACTGTAGGCAACTATTTCCCTACAGCCTTGCTAACACTGGGTACTTTTACTGCTGGCTAACACTGGGCATCCTTCTGCCACTGGCAATTTATCTTTGGTGCATTTACATATTTTTATTCCCCCACCCCGTTTTTTTTACATTGAGTGATTCTCTTTTTTCTGATTATTTGGATGGGCTTTTTAAGCATTGTGGCCTTCTTTCTTTTTTTGGAGACAGAGTTTCACTCTGTGGCCCAGGCTGGAGCGCAGTAGTGTGTTCATGGCTCACTGCAACCTCCGCCTCCTGGGCTCAAGCAATCCTCCCACCTCAGCCTCCTGAGTAGCTGGGACCACAGGCACAAACCACCATGTCTGTCTTTTTTTTGTATTTTTGGTAGAGACAAGGTCTTCCTACGTTGCCCAGACTGGTCTTGAACTCCTGAGCTCGCCCCCCAACCCTGCCCACCCAAGTGCCGGGATTACAGGTGAACCCAGCCAATTTGCCCAATGTTTGTTGCTATTACTTAGAGTCTAAGGGATGAAGGCAATATTTACATTTAAACCCCTAATTTTCCTAGGCTATTAGTGTGCGATTCAAATGTGTGTCTATAAAGTTTATTATAATTAAAGCAAAAGTTTGAAATTTGAAAATTAGCAACATAATTTTTCTTTTTTATATTTTGATTGGACTAAGTGTGGTATGAAACTCAAAAGCCAAACAAGTCAGAATGACAGCTTTGTCTACATTTTGAAATGCAACAATCTGAATGACAGGTTTCTAACATATGACCAAGTATTAAACTACTTTTAATGGAAGTATAAGAAGTGGATTCACATAAAATGCACAAAGTTAAAAACTGGAACAGGTAATACAAATACAAGATGTTCTACTCACAAACACATATTAAGATGGTGTTGATTCCTCATTCCTCTAAGTAGTCTCCACCCACTTCTTGACATAAGAAAGAAAGAATAATGTAAGCAGCAGACCATGCCAGGTCCAATCCAAGATTTCTTCCAAAGGGGAACAACAGGTGTGATTATGTCAAAGTAGCTGTGATCTGCTGACACTAACTCACCCTCTGTTGTATCTTCCTATCATGCCTTGAACTCCTCCTCAAACTCTTCCCTAAGATGGCATTAGGAGATTATATTTCTCTAATTCAAATAACTATTTATTTGTATGTGCTTCTTCTCCTTATAATCACATTAGCAAAAGAAGAGAGCCCTGCTGCATGATCAGAAATGTTGTGCATGAAATATAACTTCTACTGAAAGGCATCTTGTACATGATCTTCTCCACATTAAGTAAAAATGGCTTCTAAGAAAATGGGGTGTCCTGGGAAAATACAGGTGAACCTATGTAAGAGGCCTAGGAAAGTACAAACACTGAAAGAAAAAATTGGAAGTAATGCATTTATTTAAAGGCAAGGGAACCAAAAGCTGAGCCCCTGACTTTAAGTATATCCCCTGTATCACACATAAGACTGTTTCTATGCAACAGAAATACAAATGGAAGGCAATGTTGATGTCTAACAGTTACGGTAATACTTCATACAAAAATGTATAACCACCAGCAGCATGGAACCACCGAGCACTGTGGCAACAGCAATGTGCATTTCATATCTCCGAAGTGATGGAGGTGAAAGGAGAGAAACAGGAGAATTTGGTGAGCAGCTCAGTTGCAAAGCAAGCCCTGAATTGTTTGAGAGGTTTAAGAACAGTACATAAATGCATAACATTAAATATCACTGATAAATAAATTAGCTTCTGCTGATAGCGAGACTGCAACAAACTTTCCCCCAATGAATTGCAGAAAACTATTAATAAAGGAGAAATATTGGAAAGCAAATTTATAACTGACAAAAATAGACCTTTCTTAAAGAATGCCATCTTGTGCTTTGGTAAGAAATTTAAAAAGAAAACGTGTCAGGCTAACATTGCTTTTATATTTAAAAAATTGAGCGATGTTAAGCTAAAGCCTTTGCTGATATACTCTGAAAACCCAACAATACTTAAGAGCAACCTGTAAAACAAAAGTAAGGACTCATCACAACCTATGAGATTAAATATCAATTACTGATGCCGTTTCTGATGCAGGATGATGATGAAGACAAAACTCCTTTAATTAAGGATTTTAAGGAAGAACCTAAGAAGGCATACGAATTCATCAAAATGAAAATGAATTAATCAGATAAGAAACTAGTCCCTTTCAATTTATTGCTGACCTCCAAAGTTTAGAGAAAGTCATCTCCCAAAGGAAAAATTATTAGATCTTACTAAGGAGACTGGGCTGAGAGAACAGCTTTGTCGCCCAGGCTGGAGTGCAGTGGCACAATCACAGTTCACTAAAGCCTTGACCTCCTGGACTCAGGCAATCCTCCCGAGCCTCCTGAGTAGCTGGGTCTATAGGTACATGGCACCATGCCCAATTCATTTTTATATTTTTTGTAGAGGCAGGGTTTCACCATGGGCATCATGGTCTCGAAGTGGGCTCAAGCAATCTGCCCACCTCGGCCTCCCAAAGTCCTGGGATTACAGGTGTGAGCCACTGCACCTGGCCAGTAACTAGTATTTTTAATGCTTTATATAATGGAAGAAAGGGGTGGAAATTTGTTACATAGATATATTTAGAGCATTTCATTTGCAACCCTTAATGTAATAATCCAGGCAAGGATGATCAATGGATGCTAAAACCATTAAGTGAAAAGGTCACTGGAGAACAGAATATGATGCCCAAGCATCACCCCACAGATTACTCACCAGTAAAAAGAGATAATGCATCTTCGCAACGGAGAAATCTGGCAATCACCAAATAATTGTTCGAATTTAGAACCATTAACCCAAGAATGTGTATCTTCTTATTTGATGCAAAATGGTATACACAAGCTTCATCTATGACATACTCTTGCCCCTCCCCCAAAATGTTTACACTGAATCAAATCAAGCTTCTTAGGTTAGACCTGCACTTTCTAATATAATAGCCACTAGTCGCATGTGGCTACTGAGCACCTAAGAAGTGGCTAGTCTTACTTAACATGTGCTGCAAATGTAAAATATAAACTGGATTTTTGAAGACTTTGTGAGAAAAAAGTTATGCTGATTCCATCTTGAAATTATATTTTGGGTATATTGAGTTAAATGAATTATTAAAATGAATTTTACCTATCTTTTTACATTTCTAAATGTGGTTACAATTTTAAAATCACACATTAGGCTTTCATGTGTGGTTCCCATGTTTCTATTAGATAGTACTGCTACAGTTTGCAGGAAATCTAGGGGATGTGGAAATAAGTGAAACAATTGCTTTATTTATAAAGTGAGATAGGGGTCTCACTATATTGTCCAGGCTGGTCTCAAACTGCTGGATTCAAGTGATCCTCCCAACTCAGCCTCCCAAAATGCTGGGATCACAGGCATGAGCCACCATGTCCAGCCAGTTAAATGATTTCTTGAGAAAATAATTAGAAAAATCCACAATGTTGAATAGGATACTCTATTTAACAACTAGTTTAAGGCCGGGCGCGGTGGCTCACGCCCGTAATCCCAGCATTTTGGGAGGCCAAGATGGGCGGATCACGAGGTCAGGAGATCGAGACCATCCTGGCTAACACAGTGAAACCACGTCTCTACTGAAAATACAAAAAATTAGCCGGGCGTGGTGGCAGGCTTCTGTAGTCCCAGCTACTCGGGAGGCTGAGGCAGGAGAACGGCGTGAACCCAGGAGGCAAAGCTTGCAGTGAGCCAAGATCGCGCCACTGCACTCCAGCCTGGGGGACAGAGCGAGACTCCGTCTCAAAAAAACCAACCAAACAAACAAAAAAAACAAAAAACAAAAAAAAAAAGTAGTTTAAAATCTTCAAAAATTCAATCTGAAGAGGATTCTTAGGGCCATCAAAGTATTCTGTATGATACTATAATGGTAAGATACACGTCAAATATTTCTCTAAACCCATAGAATGTACAATACCAAAAGTGAACCCTGATATAAATGATGGGATTGTGGGTGATGACGTGTCAATGTAGTCCATCAGTCATAACTCTATTTCAGTAGTTTTAAAACTTCAACCAACTATTTCTTCACCTGCTAGCAGTTACATGGTTTTTGTTTTTAAATAACTCTTAAAATTGTACATATTTACATTGCATGTATCACACATATGTACACTATTCTGTATAAGTGAATATATGAAAGAGACATATGCTGGAAAGACAAAAGTAAAATAAAGAGAGCTTAAGAGACTTCTAAACAACTGAATCTTTTCCTCAAACACAAAAAAATCCACCCAAAGCAATTTACAAATACAATGTAATCCCTGTATCAAAATCCCAACAACTTTTGGAAAACCCATCCTAAAATTCACACCCCAAATTGCCGAAACATTCTTGAAAACAAGAACAAAGTTGGAGAACTCACATGTCCTGATTCCAAGGCTTACTACAAAACGACAATAATCAAAACACTGTGGTATTGGCAAAAAGACAGACATAATATACACCAATGAAACAAAATAAGAGCCTAGAAATAAAACCCTTGCATATATGGCCAACTGATTTTCAACAAGGTTGACTAGACCGCTCAATGAGGAAAGAAAATCTTTCAATAAACAACACTAGGGAAACTGGGTATCCATAAGCAAAAGAATGAAGGTGGATTCTTTCCTTACATGATATGCAAAAAATAACTCTAAATGAACTGAAAACTTAAACGTAAGAGCTAAAACTTTAAAACTCTCAGGCGAAAAAATAAGAGAAAATCTTCAAGACATTGGATTTAGCAACAAACTCTTGGACATGACACCAAGAGCAATAGAGACAAAAGAAAAAATAAATGATCTGGATCAAAATTTAAAACTTTAGTTCATCAAAAGCAACCCCCAAAAAAATGGGAAAAATATTGTAAATCACCTATCTGATAAAGGATTAATATCCAGAATACAAAAAGAACTCATACAACTCAATAACAACAAGAAAACCAATGCAAAAATGGGCAAATGACTTGAATAGGCATTTCTCCAAAGATAAAAAGATGTCTGGTCAACAAGCACAATGCAAAGATGCTCAATATCACTAATAATAGAAGAAATTCAAAACCACAATGAGATACCACTTCACACCAATTAGAATTGCTATTAAACACACACACAGAAAATGACAAGTGTTGACAAGAATGTAGAGAAATTAGAACCCCATGCATTGCTAATGGGAATGTAAGAGGATGCAACCATTGTGAAAGGCGGCATGGCATGTCCTCAAAATATTAAACTTAGAATTACCATATGATCCAGCAATTTCACTTCTGGTTATATATGCAAAAGAATTAAAGCAGGGGGTCAAACAGATGTTTGTACACCAATGTTCAAAGCAGCATTATTCACAACAGTCAAAACGTGGAAACAACCCAATTGTCAACCAACAGATGAATGGATAAACAAAATGTGCAGTATATACATACAACAGGATGTTACTCAGCTTTAAAAAGGAATGAAATTATGATACATTCTACAACATGAATGAACTTGAAAATATTATGCCAAGTGCAATAAGCCAGATACAAAAGGATAAATATTGTATGAGTCCACTTACATGAAAATACCTTGCAGCCAGGTGCAGTGGCTCACACCTGTAATCCCAGCACTTGGGAGGCCAAGGTGGGCAGATCACCTGAGGTCAGGAGTTTGAAACCAGCCAGGCCAACATGGCAAAACCACGTCTCTACTAAAATACAAAAATTGGCCAGGCACGGTGGCTCACGCCTGTAATCCCAGTACTTTGGGAGGCCGAGGCAGGTGGATCACCTGAGTTCAGAAGTTCGAGGCCAGCCTGACCAACATGGCAAAACCCCGTCTCTACCAAAAATACAAAATTAGCCAGGCATGGTGGCTCATGCCTGTTAATCCCAGCTACTCGGGAGGCTGAGGCAGGAAGAATCGCTTCAACCTGGGAGGCAGAGGTTGCAGTGAGCCGAGATCGCGCCACTGCACTCCAGCCTGGGTGACAGAGCAAGACTCTGTCTCAAAAAAAATACAAAAATACAAAAATAGCCGTAGTGGCGTAGTGGCGGGCACCCCTAATCCAGCTACTTGGGAGGCCGAGGCAGGAGATTCGCTTGGAACCGGGAAGCAGAGGTTGTACTGAGCCAAGATCACACCACTGCACCCCAGCCTGGGCAACAGAGCGAGACTGTCACAAATAAAAGAAACAGAAAAAGAAAAGAAAATACCTTGAGAAGTCAAACTCAGAGAGAGAAAATAGAATGGGGGTTGCCAGGGGCTCAGGATAAAGAGGGATGAGGAGTTACCGGTTTGTGTGTTTGTTTATTAAGACTTAGTTAAGTACAGTAGTGAGAAGGGGGAAGAGTAGAATGGAGTAGTTAAAAAGTCCAATATACATATCAGAAGTGTGGGACACATCAAATGGAAGCCAAGCATATTCCTACCTCCTTGTGTGGCAGGTCCTAAAATACAGACGGACTGTGTCATTACTCTGAATCACCCTCAAGCCTTCGACGTGGCCCACACCCAAAGACAGCACCATTAATAACCTATCACGTACTTAGGATTCCTCCCAATACAGTACTCAGCAGCCACACCCGCCAAATAAATCCATGATGAGACATCTGCCATCCTTGCCTTAACATAAGTGACCTCTGAGAACAAATCTGCCCTTCTCTTCCTTCTGCAGGAACCCTTTCTCCTTTCCTTTGTGTAGAGCTTCTCCTGTGAAAGGCCCATTTTGGCCCATGTGCAGTGCAAGTAGACCGATACTCTCAGTCTCACTGTTAAAGAAAGAGAGCAGAAATAACTCCGAATGGATCACCAAAATTTCTTAGTTTTGGAAAGAATATCAAATTCCACCAAGTTGCAAGTCATCATTTCAGAGAATGGAAACTCAAAGCCTTGACTAGAATGATGGTTAATCTGGTTCTCCCAGCTGAGAACCCATATATTAAGCTAAACTAGTCTGGCTTTATTTAAAAACTAAGTAAACAAAATGAGAAATGCTTTTCACAAGTTAATTTTTAAAGTAAATGTACAAGGTGTATATTGTTTTATGTTGTCCAAAATATCAACATACTGGTTTTGCAAAAGCCCTTTACTACCGTATGCATACAAAAAAAGTTCTTCCCTTGGGTGATTTAATAGACCTAGTAAATGTCAGATAACTTAAATATTTTCGCCAGCAAGAGATACAGTAAAGTCTATGATTTTGATCTGAATTCAGTGCCCTGTACCCTGACTACTGCAGAGGAGAAGGCGATAAAATAAGAGGATGCTGTCATGCTTGCTCCTTAGCTTCTTTTGCATTCCTCTACATCTTATTCCATTTACAAGTTTATCTGTGTGAGGTACCAAGAACCCATAAAACAACCCTGAAGTTATTTATACATTTATTCAAACTTATAAAAGAAACCTAAGCACGTAGAAAATTGGAATGTAGCTAAGTTTTTTTCAAAAACAAATTAGGAAATTATTGACTGCCACTTGATGGGCTTCTGTGCTGCACTAACAACATGACAATGGTGGGCGGGGCGCGGTGGCTCACGCCTGTAATCCCCGCACTTTGGGAGGCCGGGGCGGGCAGATCACGAGGTCAGGAGATCAAGACCATCCTGGCTAACATGGTGAAACTCCGTCTCTACTAAAAATACAAAGAATTAGCCAAGGATACAAAAAATTAGCCAGGCGTGGTGGCGGACGCCTGTAGTCCCAGCTACTCAGGAGGCTGAGGCAGGAGAATGGCGTGAACCCGGGAGGTGGAGCTTCAGTGAGCAGAGATCGCGCCATGCACTCCAGCCTGGGTGACAGAGAGAGACTCCGTCTCAAAAAGAAAAAAAAAAAAAAAAAAAAAAGACACTTCTGTAATCCTAGCACTTTGGAAGGCCGAGGCAGGCGGATTGCCTGAGCTCAGGAGTTCAAGACCAGCCTGGGCAACATGGTGAAACCCCGTCTCTACAAAAATACAAAAAATGAGTCAGGCGTGGTGGAGTGTGCCTGTAGTCTCAGCTACTCCAGAGGCTGAGGCAGGAGAACTGCTTGAACCTGGGAGGCGGAGGTTGCAGTGAGCAGAGATCGCACCATTGCACTCCAGCCTGGGTGACAGAGCGAGATTCTGTCTCAAAAAAAAAATTAGCCGGGCATGGTGGCATGTGTCTGTGGTCTCAACTACTGGGGAGGCTGAGGCAGGAGGATCGCTTGATCCCAGGAGGTAGAGGTTGCAGTGAGCTGAGATGGCACCACTGCACTCCAGCCTGGGTGAATGAGACTCTGTCTCAAAAAAAAAAAAGAGACTGAGACTCTTCTTTCCACTATTAAACAACTTCTTAGAAGACACTATTTCCATAATTTAAGGACTTTAATATATTTAAAATGTAAGACATTTTTGTGGTTGGTTAAGGATTTCAACCATGACTGAAATCAGGGTTGTCTTCAAAATAATACTGATGTATTTTTTGTAACCAATTCATAAACCATCTCTCTCTTTCCAGTATAACTTTTTCTTACTATCCTGACTAGTCCATTGCCATTAGGCTTTTTTAAAGGTATGCTTTTTTTTTTTAGATTTATAGTAACGTCAGTAAGGTTCTCTTAGACTAAAACTAAATAAGGACTAAACTATCACCAGTAGCAGTTCCTAATCGAATTAAGCCAAACAGTGAGAAATTCCCTGATGACAATTCATGACTCACCAGGAGAAAGCTTAAGTATCGTGCTCTTTGAGTGGAAAGACTAGCTTAGCTAGACTACCCAGAGCCATGAGTTATTGCATCTACAAAGTTTTACACGTATGACGTAAAAGACTAGTTTAGCTAGACCACCCAGAGCCATGAGTCATGCATCTACGAAGTTTTACATGTATGAAGTACATTCATGGAAGTGTCTAACAATTTAACACCATCTATAGTATGGGGCAACAGGAGACATGGGGACAGCAACAATCGAAAATCTAAATGATCCACAGATTTTTAACACAAGCCAAAGCCTAATTGTTTCTAAATCAACTGCCGCCAAGTTTCTCCCAGGCACTTTTCCATACGCCACTCCAAATTCAAAGCTATCTTCACATTTTGCATACTCTTATTTGATTTTAGGAATGGGAAACATTACTCTAAGTGTCAAAAAATAAATAAATGGGAAAGCCTACTTAGCTGGATGATTTTAAAAAAATAAAATTTCAGCCAGTCGCGGTGGCTCATGCCTGTAATCCCAGCACTTTGGGAGGCCAAGGTGGGCGGATCACCTGAGGTCAGGAGTTCGAGGCTAACCTGACCAACATGGAGAAACCCTGTCTCTAGTAAAAATACAAAATTAGCCAGGCATGGTGGCACATGCCTGTAATCCCAGCTGCTTGGGAGGCTGAGGCAGGAGAATTGCTTGAACCCAGGAGGCGGAGGTTGCGGTGAGCCAAGATCGCACCATTGCGCTCCAGCCTGGACAACAAGAGTGAAACTCCATCTCAAATAAATAAAATATATTTTATTTATTTATTTATTAATTAGAGACGGGGTTTCACCATGTTGGCCAGGCTGGTTTCAAACTCCTGACCTCAACAGATCTACCCACCTTGGCCTCCCAAAGTGCTGGGATTACAGGCATGATGAGCCACTGTGCCCTGGCCAGAAAAATAAAATTTCTAAATGCCAAAATAGCCATAAAAAATTAAAAGGCAAATAATTACTCTTATAAACCTTTAAAACCACACACACACACACACACACACACACACACATTCCAAACTGTCAAGGTGTTCACCTTTCTTGGGAATTTTTAAAATAATTTTCTTTTTACCTAGCAGAATCAAACATTTTTTAAAGTTCCTGGTGGTATGAAGAACACAATAAAAAGTGGCACTTTGATACAGTTAATAGTGGAAATACAAATTAGCAAAGCCTTTCTAGAAGGCAATCAGTAATATTTATGAAGAACCTCAAAAATATTTATTTTCCTTAACTAAGAAATGACCAGAAATTTATCCGAAGAGAAATAATCAAGGATTATGTATAAATGTTTTCATAAGGAAAATCCACAGAAGCACTAATTATAATTTAAGTGGTTTACAACTATAATTTGAAAACCCAGAAGTCAAGATGTGGGGAATATGATAGTAGCAGCATATGAAGGAATGCTATGCATCTATTTAAAATACTTTACAAGAATATTTCAGGACATGGGGAAATATTTACAATTTTTAAAAGATAAGATATTCTGAATATATCTAACTCTTAAAACACATACACTACACACTTTTGACAACAAAAAGCTTTGGCCTAATCGTGTCTTCTAGTTCAAGGTGTCAGTGCGGGCACATGTGCTTATCTCCTCTTCCCTCCTAAGAAGTTAAATAAATTTTTCTAAAGAAATTAAAAAATAACTTTTTAATTTAAAGTATATTAAAAAGACCAGGTGGATTGCCCATGGCTCTGAAAGATGAAAACGGATGGAAGAACGTGAACTGAGTAAGCAGAGTGGAGGGAGCAGAGAGCAGAATACTCACAGAGGAGCTGCAGCGAAGGAGGAAGGCTAATCTTCTGGGCAGAACCCCAGAGAGGCGCCAGTTCAGTGACCGTCGTACGAGGGAGATCAGTAGTGAGAAGTGGGACTGAAAACATCTGTCATAGCAAGAAGTCAACAGAGAATGTCTAAAGTTGATAAACCAAAACATAAACACTATAAATATATTATTTAGAAGCATGGAGTTAAGCCCCCAGGAGATCTGAACCTAAAAGGTTTTAAAAAGCAGTTGCCTCTGGGGAATTCTTCATTATCCTTCACTGAATGCATTGTTCACTATTAGGCCTCTTGAATCACTGGTATTTGATTATTTGGGTTTTTTAAAGCTAAGTATATATACATATACATAATGTTGATTTTTAAGTTTTTATTCTTTTTTTATTTTACATTGTGTTCACTTTGCTTTCATACACAAACCTCAATTTTACTTCTTGTCCACTAAGTCAGAGGCTATATTCTATTTGGCAGTGTTTTTCAACCGTAAGTCACACAGTCATGAAATAGATCTAGTGGAACATAACCAGCACTCATTTTTCCTAACAGAAACAAAAAATAAAATAGGGTTATTGTTGGTGAAGCTTTCATTTCAGCCACAAATGTTTAATAAAAATGCATGTGCTGGGGTACTATGGAAAATACCTTCCCTATTGTATCTACTCTCAACCCAGCAGGCAGAAGTAATCCTGGAAAAATGTGAGTCACATCATGTCACTATACCAACAGCTTCCCATTCTCACTCAGAGCAATGGCCTGTGTGATGGCCTATAGGGTCCTTCAGAATTAACCAGCATCTCTCTCCAACCTTCAGCTAACCGCTCTGCCACCGCAGGGGCTTTAACCAGCATCTCTCTCCAACCTTCAGCTAAGTGCTGTGCCACCTCCCTCCAGCGTTCAGGGGCTTTAACCAGCATCTCTCTCCAACCTTCAGCTAACCGCTCTGCCACCTCCCTCCAGCGTTCAGGTCAGCCCCATTTCAGGGCCCTTGTGCTTGCCTCACCTAACCTCTGCATGATTCACTCATTCACCTGAGTTCCTCGGTCCACTGTCACCCTATTTTTAATGAAACCCCACCCCCTTACACACTCCTTATTTTATCCTCTTTCCCTGTTCTAGTTTCCACACAGCACTCTACACTTTCTATTAATTCTTCTCTCCCCTACCCTAACTACAAAGCAAGCTCTATAAGAACAAGGGTTTTTGTTTATTTACTGATATAGCCCCAGGACCTGTGACAGTCTCTGGCAGTAAATATTTGCCCAAGAAATGAATTACTTAAAAATATGTATCACTTTAGGAAAAAGCCATGTTATTGGCAATGAAACACAACAATTCTTAAGTTTGGAACACAAGAAATTTGGGTAGGAATTTTGATGGTTGAGGATAAGCTACAATTCAGACGCCAGACCGTAAATTCCACCTATCGCAATATTGAGTAAGTTGCTGGCATACTCTAAATGTGCAAGTCTACTGAAATGACCTTCGTTCACATCAAAAGTAATGTAAAGAATGTGTGTATCTCAGCCATCATTTTAAAAGAAGAGAAGAAAAAAACTTACGGGCGAAGCTGTTCCCTAAACAGCTAAAATATGTAAAATGTAAAAGACGGGCCGGGCACGGTGGCTCTGTCTGTGATCCCAGCACTTGGGAGGTCGAGGCAGGCAGATCACCTGAGGTCAGAAATTCGACACCAGCCTGGCCAACATGGAGAAACCCCATCTCTACTAAAAATACAAAAATTAGCTGGGCGCTGGCCAGGTGTGGTGGCTCACACCTGTAATCCCAGCACTTTGGGAGGCTGAGGCGGGTGGATCACAGGGTCAGGAGATCGAGACCATCCTGTCTAACACAGTGAAACCCCGTCTCTACTAAAAATACAAAAAATTAGATGGGTGTGGTGGCACGCACCTGTAGTCCCAGCTACTGGGGAGGCTGAGGCAGGGGAATCTCGAACCCAGGAGGCAGAGGTTGCAGTGAGCCGAGATTGCACCACTGCACTCCAGCCTGGGTGACACAGTGAGACTCCGTCTCAAAAAAAAAAAGTAAAAGACTTACACCTTTTGCCTAATTCGCAGTCAAAGTCTCACTCTTAGTAACCACAAGTTGTACACGTTCACAGTTTTCACTATTCCCTTCAACCCTGAATGAAGACCAGGGGGCTTATCACTGATCACCTTCATTTCCTCAGAAGAAAACAAAGACTGGCATTCAGGAGAAAATCACATAGCAGGTCTTGAATTGTGGCACGTGAATGGCAGAACATGTCAGTTATAATTTCCATGGTTTTTTTTTTTTGACAGGGTCTCACTCTGTTGCCCAGGCTGGAGTGCAATGGCATGATCATGGCTCACTGCAGCCTAGGCTCCTAGGCTCAAGCCATCCACCTGCTTTGGCCTTCTAAAGTGCTGGGATTACAGGCATAAGCCACCATGCAAGGTACATTTCCATTATATTTTTCTAGCACATTTTGTAATTCACTGAATGAAAAAAAAAAATCTTTGGGAAAAAGTCATTGAACACTTCTCCCTCATAAACAAAAAAACACATGGCAAAATCAGATTTCTACTGTGTACAAAAGTTTATCCAACTGTAAAAAATAGTATCTCTAAGCCTGCTTTTCTATATTTCATGCCATTAATAAAACACAAGACTTGATAAAACCATTTTACTCATCACTTCTTAGAGAGTAAATTTTAATATTAGTCACTTGTAACTGGTTTTAACCCATCTTCTCAAAAACAATGTGGTTTTACCTGTTTGTTTGTTTGTTTTTGAGAGGGAGTCTCTGTCGCCCAAGCTGGAGTGCAGTGGCACAATCTCAGCTCACTGCAACTTCTGCCTCCCCAGTTCAAACGGATTCTCCTGCCTCAGCCTCCCGAGTAGCTAGGATTACAGGCGCCCACCAACACGCCGGGCTAATTTTTGTATTTTTAGTAGAGACAGCTTTCACCATGTTGGCCAGGCTGGTCTCAAACTCCTGACCTCAACTGATCCACCCGCCTCAGCATCCCAAAGTGCTGGGATTACAGGTGGTTTTACCTGTTTTTACTGTTAAGTAAAAGTTTTTTTTAAAAGAGGAAATAAATGAGACAAGTTGAAAGAGCAACTCACAGACATAAATATATAAAATTGAATGAAGTACTGAAGCCACTGGCAAAATGAAAACCCCATCATATATAGGAAGTAGTCAACCTGATACTGATGAAAACAAACATGATATCAAACAAAATCTCAAGAAAATCACATCGAGCACAGCAGAAAAGAACAAAGGAAGCATTTAGAAAAGTAATGAAATGGAAGACAGGAAATGAAGATAAACAATCATAAAACTGATGTTTCTTGAGTAAAGAAAAATAAAAATGAATGCATATTAAAAGGTGTATAAGAAAATATTCCTGAATCTGCAGTTTGAATGGCTTACCATTTAACAGGAAAATGTAAGAGAATCACACCAAGACCGAGTTATATCCTGATGAAGTTACTGAACTTCAAGGATAAAGAAAGAATTCTAGCAATACTCAGGCAGAAGTAGGTCACCTACAAAGGGAAAAAAACAGTCAGGCTGGCCCCAGACTTCTCTAGAGTAACCCTAGATGCCAGAAGATAATGGAATAGTGTCTGCTGGGTATTAAGAGAAAGGGAAACGTAACCCAAAAATTCTGTAACCAGCCAAAACATCACGTTGCTTGTGAAAGCCACTAACAGACATTTTTGAACATAAGAGCACTCAAACAACCACTCCTGAAAAAACTATTTGATAAACATAATAGATTTAAATATATTAAAGCTATAGCTTTATAATACCCATAGAACTACAAACTACCATGTTTAATCTATTCTAAGATGTACCTTTTTCACATTTTTGTCTATCTGAAATCAGCATGCATATTTCAATCAATGGTACGTCATAGTTTCTTTGACAGCATTTAACTGTATTAATGGTATACAAAATAACGAAGCACACAACCACCAACGGTATCTTAGACATAACGAAATACAGTATATAACTTACAAAATGAGACAGAAGGGATAGCAAATAAAGAAAACAAACCATGTAGTTTAAAGGAAGAAAACCAAGCCAGACACTGTAGCTCTCACCTATAATCCCAGCACTTTGGGAGGCCAAGGCGGGAGGATCACTTGAGGTCAGGAGTTCGAGACCAGCCTGGCCAACATGGTGAAATCCCATCTCTACTAAAAATACAAAAATTAGCCGGGCATGGTGGCAGGCGCCTGTAATTCCAGCTACTCGGGAGGCTGAGGCAGGAGAATCGCTTGAACCCGGGAGGTGGAGGTTGCAGTGAGCCCGAGATCATGCCACTGCACTCCAGCCTGGGCGACAGAGCTAGACTGTCTCAAAAAGAAAAGAAAAGAAAGAAAACCAAAAGCAAACATATAGATGACAACAAAACAAATACACTAATATTATATAAGCAAAGCAAAATATATAACATTAATGTAAATGATTAAAAGCATCTCAAATTGAGTCAAGACTAACCTTTATCCAACTACAAGGGTCTACAAGAGACAAATCTAAAATAGAGACTTTGAGAAGTTAAAGTAAAAGGTTAGATAAAAGCATACATAGCAAGCATCAACACCCTTTCAAAACCAGCTGAATTCAAACTGAAAGAATATTAAAGGAGGCAGAAAAGGGTCATTTTTTATAATGATCAAGATTACAATCTATAAAGATATGTTATAAAACTATATATACCAAAATTTTCATAATATATAGTTACAACAAAAACTTTTTTTTTTGAGACAGGGTCTTGCTCTGTTGCCCAGGCTCAAGTACAATGGTGCAAGGCTCACTGCAACCTCCACCTCCCAGGTTCAAGTGATTCTCCTGCCTCAGCCTCCAAAGTAGCTGGGATTACAGGCATGCACCACCACACCCAGCTAATTTTTGTATTTTTAGTAGAGGGGAGGTTTCATCATTTTGGCCAGGCTGGGATTACATGTGAGCCACCGCACCCAGCCAGAACAAAAATTTCAAAGAAATCTAAGAAAAACTTTTAGGCAGAAGTAAGAATATAAGAGTATCATTTCCTGAAAGATCAAATACATAAACGACAAAATGGCTGAACATGTGAAAGAATGAGATCAAGTCTCTATGCAACAGTTATAAAAACTGATCATCAATTTAGGCCATTAACACCTCAAAAATTTCAGGAAAGTAGAAATAGTCTATACAATCTGACAATGAAACAATTAAGCTACTCCCCTTAATGCAGTAGACTTGACATTTATGTACTCTCTCTCCTTAAATTACTTCAAGTAATTGAATGGAGTAATGTAAATCAAAATCAATAGAGATTACCTAGAAAATAACAATGATAAAAACTGCCCATATAAAAATCTCTGGTACGACTGGGCCTAGCGGCTCACACAATAAAAAAAGTTAGCCGGGCATCCTGGCGCGTGCCTGAAGTCCTAGCTATTTGAGAGGTTGAGGTGGGAGGATCCCTTGAGCCCAGGAGGTCAAGGATGCAATGAGTCGTGTTCATGCCACTACACTCTAATCTGTGTAAAAAAAAAAAAAAGAAAAGAAAAGAAAGAAAGAAAGAAAAGGAAAAAGAAGGCTGGGGGCAGTGGCTCACGCCTGTAATCCCAGCACTTTGGGAGGTCGAGGCAGGTGGATCACCTGAGGTCAGGGGTTCGAAACCAGCCTGGCCAACACGGTGAAACCCTGACTCTACTAAAAATACAAATGTTAGCCAGGTGCGGTGGCGCATGCCTGTAATCCCAGCTACTCGGAAGGCTGAGGCAGGAGGATCACTTGAACCCGGGAGGTGGAGGTTGCAATGAGCTGAAATCACGCCACTGCACTCCAGCCTGGGCAACAAGAGCGAAACTCGGTCTCAAAAAAAAAAAAAGAAAAGAAAAAATAAAAAGAAGAGAAAAAAATCTTTGGTACACTAATAAAGCTATACTCAGAGGAAGAGAGCCACAGCCTAAACACCTTCAACTGAGCAAGAATTAAATGAGCATTCAACTCAAGGTTAGAAAATAAACATTTAAAAATAAGAACAAGGGAATTCAAAGTTACTCAAGTAAGATAACAGAAGCCTGCAGAATTAATTCTAAAACCTAGGAGCAGCCAGGAACGGTGGCTCATGCCTGTAATTCCAGCACTTTGGGAGGCTGAGGCGGTTGGATCACGAGGTCAGGAGATCAAGACCATCCTGGCTAACATGGTGAAAACCCATCTCTACTAAAAATACAAAAAATTAGCCAGGCATGCTGGCACGTGCCTGTAGTCCCAGCTACTGGGGAGGCTGAGGCAGGAGAACTGCTTGAACCTGGGAGGCAGAGGTTGCAGTGAGCTCAGATCGCGCTACTGCACTGCAGCCTAGGCGACAGAGCGAGACTCCATCTCAAAAAAAAAAAAACGAAAACAACTTAGGCGCTATATTTTGATGGGAGGGGAAAAAAAACAGACAAACTATTAGCTGGACTAAAAAAACAATTATATGAAATTAGGGACTGAAAAGGAAGTAAGATAATAGAGAAGAAATAAAAATAAGTATAAAATATGTTTCCAGTAAATCCTAAGCTGCTAAATTTTAAACACAGATACAATGGATGATTTTCTGGGAAAATATAAATTGTCAAAAGCATCTAACAGAATTAGAAAACACTCCAATAACTTCCGAAGATTCGCATAAGTTACACAGTTAGCTCCCCCCTCAACTCCAAATACCAGTCCCAGACATTTTCATAGTAAGTAAAGGTAATTTCAAAGGTAATTCTTTTATTAAACTATCCTATGAAACAGAAAAGCTTCCCAATTCATTTCCTAAGCCAACTGTGTATAGACAGCAGAGTATACTCAATAAAAATTCTAAATTATAATAGCAAACTCTGTATTATATTTATCTCAGACACTGGTCTAGCTAGGCAGTATGCATGCTTCAACTCATTTACTCTCAAAACAATTTGATGATCTGGAGTGAGAGTCAAAATATTTAACAGCAGGTATAGAATAGATGCCGATCAATCAGAAAAAATGCCAGAGCTAGGCTCTGCTGCAGCACCATCCTCTTTGTGCCAAACATAATTATCCCTTCAGCGGCTAGATAACCAAGGAAGGGGCAAGTATCTTAACGACCTGTACAATGACGGTGCTAGTGCCTACTGACCGAGCACTACTCCCTGCTCAGGGGAAATGTCTGGGACTGGTACCGCTCGGGAGTAGTTCTCAGTCAGTCACAATACCATAGTAATGGTATTATCCACCTCTATTTTACAGGTATTCTTTCCTTTTAATATCAGGAATGTATATTACATTTTATGAAAATTTTTCAACAACAGTAACAACGAACGCTTTTTCTTTTCGACATTAACATCATGTTAGATCAAGAGATTAAACCTGAGTTTGTGGAAGATTGACACCTTTTAAGTTTCTTCTTGGGTTATATTTACTATTATTTTATTTTAGAAAGGCCACATAGCATAGAGGTTAAGTGCCTAATTGCTGGAGCCTCAATGTGTGGGTTCAGACCCAAGCGCTTCTCTATTTTTTTTTTTTGAGACGGAATTTCACTCTTGTTGCCCAGGCTGGAGTGCAGTGGTGCGATCTTGGCTCCCTGCAACCTTCGACTCCCGGCTTCAAGCAATTCTCCTGCCTCAGCCTCCCAAGTAGCTGGGATTACAGGCACCCACGACCACGATCGGCTAATTTTTTGTATTTAGTAGAGACGGGGTTTCAGCATGTTGACCAGGCTGGTCTTAAACTCCTTACCCTCAGATGATCCACCTGCCTTGGCCTCCCAAAGTGCTGGGATTACAGGCGTGAGCCACCGCGCCTGGCTCAAGCTCTTAACTCTTTTGGGCGGATCACCTGAGGTTGGGAGTTCGAGACCAGCCTGACCAACATGGAAAAACCATGCCTCTATTAAAAATACAAAATTAGGCAGGTGGTGGCACATGCCTGTAATGCCAGCTACTCGGGAGGCTGAGGCCACAGAATCACTTGAACCCGGGAGGTGGAGGTTGCGGTGAGCCGAGATCATGCCATTGCGCTCCAGCCTGGGCAACAAGAGCAAAACTGCATCTCAAAAAAAAAAAAAGTCAAAGCCAAATTTTCCTAAAATAACAATAAAACGTATTCCTTCTCTCTTTTCCTTTTTCTTTTCTTTTCCTTCTTTTGATGGAGTCTCACTTCTCTCAGCCTGGGGCTGCACGGGCTGGAGTGCAGTGGTGCAGTCATAGCTCACTGCAGCCCTGGCTGTGGGCTCAAGCTATCCTCTCACCTCAGCTTCCTGATTAGCTGGGAACACAGGTGCATATGGCTTTTTTTAACTGTTTGTAGAGACAGGGTCTCCCCTATGTTGCCCAGGCTGGTCTCAAATTCCTGGGCTCAAGTGATCCTCCTACCTTGGCCTCCCAAAATGTTGGGGTAACAGGCATGAGCTACCATGCCCAACCTAATAAAACTTATTTATATCCCCTCTTTCATCCTTGCATCCTCCGTCTTGCCCTAAACTGATACTGAGGTTCTGATGTTCTTAGAGAACATAGCTACTGAATTTTCAAAATAGGAATATACTTAAATCCAGTGAGAGTTTGAGTAGATTTTCCAAGCATCTCCCGGTTCCAACTCTCCTTCTAATGTTCCCACTTTATCTGCACTAACTTTACAACTGGTCCTAAAACTACAATTACATGTTGAGGGAGGGACCTCATGGGCTGTGATTAGATCATGGGGGCATTCACCCATGCTGTTCTCGTGATAGTGAGTTCTCACGAGATCTGATGGTTTTATAAGGTGCTTTTCCCCGCTTCGCACTGCACTTCTCTCTCCTGCCGCCATGTTGAAGAAGGATGTTTGCTTCCCTTTCTGCCATGATTGTAAGTTTCCAGAGGCCTCCCCAGCCATGCAGAACTGTGAATTAAACCTCTTTCCTTTATAAATTATCCAGTCTCGGGCAGTTCTTTATAGTAGCATGAGAACAAACTAATACCCAACATACTATTTTTTTTTATTTTTTCTTAAATAGAGATGGGGTCTCACAATGTTGACCAGGCTGGTCTTGAACTCCTGGTCTCAAGTGACCCTCCCATTTCGGCCTTCCACACCCGGCCCCTTAATTCACGTATTTAAAAAAAAAAAAAAAAAACAAAACCTTCAAAACCATAACATGAATATAACAAAATTACAATGTTTCTGATTAGAACTATGAAAATCTTGTCTTTCCAGGGTGAGTTTTAAGTTGATATTCTGTGTGAGTAGCACCTTTGGTGCCCAGTGTCTTTACAAAAAAAAAAAAAAAAAAAGATGGCATAACTAGAAATTACTGACTGAGCCATCTGGCTCAAATGAAAAGCCAGTATTTTCAGAGTATTAGTCACACACTGAAAGAAGCTGGTCATGCAAATCACATTGTAACTTTATAAATATTACAAACTTAACAATTTCAGTCAACGCTTACTGGGTACTATGTTCTGTAATCATCCCTTTATAAAGTATTAAACTTAATACTCACAAAAATCATGAGATAAGTATGAAAATGTTCCCCATTTTACCCAGACATATCGTCTAACCTGAATCTCTGCCGATGTATTTACTTCTCTACCTTCTCTCATGTTACTCTGGATCAACTGCCCTTGCTCCTAATAAGGCTTCCAAACTGGCCAGTAATTAGATCTGATCTCATTCTTCCCACTCAGATGTCCTCAAAGACACTGCTCCAGAAATTCCTACCCTCTCCTGTGTCATCGGTTCTTCTCTCTACTAAATTCAATCCCATCAGCATCAAGCATGCCACTAGCAATTCTCCAACTTTACACACACACGCATGCAGACACATACACAAATGAAGCCCACAAGCCCTCCAGTTACTGCACCATTTCTCAACACCCCTTCACGGTACAACTTTAAGAGTTGTCTTCATTCCTTATCTCCACTTGCTGCTCTCCTTCCATTCTCTCAGGCTCATACCAATCCGTCCAGTGCAACTGCCTTTCTCAAAGTACCATTCACCTCTAGTGGTCACTCATCAGTCCTTATCTTACCCAAACTCTTTTTTGACACAGCTGATCTCTCTTCCCTTGAAGCTTTCTTCACTTGGCTTAAAGGCCACAGCATTCTGGTTTGCCTCCTCTGACACCTCACTGACGCCGCTCACACTCCTTCACTAGCTTCTGGTTACTTATCTGGCTTCTTAATGCCAGTGTGTCCCAAGACTTAGTCCTCAATCTTCTTCACCTATCTACAGTTACTCCCTTATTGAGCCCATCCAACTTCATAGTTTATATGCAATCCATATGCTAACAATTTCCCACTTTATATCTCTAAGCTAAACCTCCTCACTGAATTCCAGATCAAATATAGTAAGCTGCCTATGTGACTTCTCTACTTCAGTGTCTAATAGACAAATCAAAAGTAGCATATTCAAAACCAAGCCCCTGATTATCTCTCCTTGTCCTGCGTCTTTCTTTTCCATTTCAGTTAATGTCAACTCCATCCTTTCAGATGTTCAGGCCAAAAACCCTGAAATCATCCTTGACACATTCTCTCACACACTCTACCCTTCAAATATTGTGTTCCTTCTAGGCCAGGCGCAGTAGCTCATACCTGTAATCCCAGCATTTTAGGAGGCCAGGCTGGACAACAAAGTGAGACCCCATTTCTACAAAAAATGTTAAACATTAGTCAGGCGCAGTGGTGCATGCCTATGGTCCCAGCTACTGGGGAAGCTGAGGCTTGAGCCCAGGGGTTCGAGGCTGTGGTGAGCCATGTTTGTGCCACTGAACTCCTGCTGGGCAACAAATCGAGATCCTGCCTCAAAGAAAAAGAAAAGAATTCTATTCCACCAGCAAATTCCAACAGCTCTATTTAGGAAATACACCCAAGAATTAAACCACTTTGTTCTCGGCTCCAATACAGGTCCAAGCTAGCATCATGTCTCATCTGACTCTCCGTGCAGTCTATATTCTCAGCATAGCAAGCCAAGAATGATCTCATTAAAATGTAAATCAGGTCATATCACTCCAGTGCTGAAAAACCTCACGGGTACCTCACTCTGAGTAAAAGCCTAAATCCTTACCTGTAAAAAATCACACAGCCTCCCCTCCACACCCTTTGCTGCTCCTCTGACATTGCCAGGCCTCTCTCCCACTGCAGCGCCCCTGTACTGTTCTTCTCTTGGCCTGGAAAGCTCTTCAAGACATCAGTACTCCACCCTCAACTTTTCATTCCCTTTCCCCGCTTTATTTTCTCTCCAGGGCACTTATCACTACCTAATACACCACATTTTTAATTTAATTATCTAGTTTACCATCTGTCTTCCCACAATAACTGCAAAACTTTGTACCAGCAAAACTTTCATGTCCTGTTCTTTAATGTACTGCTATGTTTACAAAAGTAGGCACTCAAATATTTGTTAAATGTAGAATTCAATTTGAAGATTATGTGTGATCTGCCAGCACTTTAAATTCAAAGTACCAACATAAGGTAATTTTTACATGATCCTATGGCTTAAAGGCTCTAAAAGTTTATATTAATAACAAGTCCAGGCCAGGCGCGGTAGCTCACGCCTGTAATCCCAGCACTTTGGGAGGCCCAGGTGGGTGGGTCACCTGAGGTGTAGTCCCAGCTACAAGGGAGGCTGAGGCAGAAGAATTGCTTTAACCCAGGAGGCGGAGGTTGCAGTGAGCCAAAATCATGACACTGGACTCCAGCCTGGATGAAAAGAGTGAGACTCCATCTCAAAAAAAAATTTTATGTCCAAGCCCTCTTTTCATATATATGAAGGTTGGTTTGGGTGGCATTTCACTATACTCTTCTTCAAACCTTTTTTCTTTTTTTTTTTGAGACGGAGTCTCGCTCTGTCGCCCAGGCTGGAGTGTGGTGGCGCAATCTCGGCTCACTGCAAGCTCCGCCTCCTGGGTTCACGCCATTCTCCTGCCTCAGCCTTCTGAGTAGCTGGGACTACTGGCGCCCACCACCACGCCCGGCTAATTTTTTGTACTTTAATTAGACACAGGGTTTCACTTGTTTGCCAGGATGGTCTCGATCTCCTGACCTCATGATCCGCCCGCCTCATTCTCCCAAAGTGCTGGGATTACAGGCGTGAGCCACCGCGCCCAGCCTCAAACCTTTTTTCAAGAGGAGCAGAAACATTTATACTGGTAGATTTCTCCTCAGTTGCAACAGATACAAACTCTGGAGACTAAAGCTCTGGGGATGTTTCTGGAAAAAAATAGCAATGACTATTAGCCAAAAGACAAAAACAGGCAAACAAATACAATGGTACTCCAACAGGCTTCTAAAACAGCACTAAGTCCTTCATTTATTGAAGGAGGAGCCAAGGTTATTCTCAATCAATCGTAAAGCAAGTTCATAGGAGGAATAAATTGCATACCAAGAAAAAAAGCAATCAAGAGTTAAGTACTTAGAGCTGTTAACACTGAGTGTTATACAAAGTAAGTCTGTACCTCAAAGAATCTACAATCAAGAAGCCCGGCCGGGCGCGGTGGCTCGCGCCTGTAATCCCAGCACTTTGGGAGGCCGAGGCAGGCGGATCACGAGGTCAGGACATTGAAACCATCCTGACTAACACAGTGAAACCCCGTCTCTACTAAAACTACAAAAAATTAGCTGGGTGTGGTGATGGGGGCCTGTAGTGCCAGCTACTCGGGAGGCTGAGGCAGGAGAATCTCTTGAACCCGGGAGGCGGAGGCTGCAATGAGCCGAGATTGCGCCACTGCACTCCAGCCTGGACGACAAGAGTGAAACGCCATATGAAGAAAGCTCTCAAAAAAAAAAAAGGAAAGGAAAAAGCTCTCAGCCAGGTGCGGTGACTCACACCTGTAATCCTAGCACTTTGGGAGGCTGAGGCCAGAGGTTTGAGACCGGCCTGGGCAACACAATGAGAAACCCCCATCTCTACAAAAAATAAACATAAAACTTAGCTGGGTGTGGTGGTGTACCATGTGGTGGTATAGTCCTAGCTACATGGGAGGCTGAGACAGGAGGATCACTTGAGCCCAGGGGTTTGAGGCTGCAGTGAGCTATCACTGTGCCACCTCATTGCAGCCTGGGCTACAGAGACTCTGTCCCTAAATATATAAAAAATAAATAAAAAATAAAAGGGATGAGAGTTAAGGTATTAAAAAATAAGTATTTTACCTGCCTTCAGAAATTTCCCACAATTCAAAATTCAAAAATGTTTATGTGGCTAAGAAATGAAGAATCAAACTTCAAATTACAAACAGAATTACTGAAAATTTTAAATGAGCTTTGCAAATACATTAATTCAGAACTAAAAGTCTGATATGATGTCACATTAAAGCAAGAAGCCCAGAAGGGACAAGCAGAGTGACAGCACCAAATGGGCAGCCAGAAATACAAGGAAGTCCAAGCCCCTCATGAGCAACTTAGTTTTCATGACTTTTTTCCAACTTTTATTTTAGATTCAGGGGGTTATTACTTTGTTTGAGGGGAAAAGGTGTCAACAACTTTTCTCTGCAATGTTTAGCCAAAGGTAATCTAATAAATAATCAAATAATCTTTCCCACACAAGCCTCGAGCAGATTCTAATGGCCTGAAAAGTACAAATGATGCTCAATTTGAATTTTAAACAATATTGTTCCACTTTCATTCTATAAAGAAAATGAAAATATAATTTACTCTGAAAGGCACTTTTAAAAATTCAATTCCTGGCTTATTTCCAGTAACTTACAAATATTCCCTATACATAACTTTCATTGATCCCTTTAAAACTTTAAAAATCACACATACAGTAAATAAACCTTCGGTAACACTATAAAAACAATTACTATTACTTCTAGCAATTACTTATCAAGGCAAATAAACAGCTACTGAATTTACCATTGAACTTTCTTTAGTCATAGTAACGAGAGATATCTGGTACTCCATTGCATTTACTGAAAAAATGTTTACAGACTTAAGACTTGTTTACTCTTCTAATAGTCACCTACTACACAATTCTCATCTTACAAGGGAAGGTCTCTTGTTGATCTTCAGAGCATGAAATCAGAGACAGCTTTAGTATGTAGATCCCCAAGTAAAAATAGAACAGATTCCAGGGACTCAAAATGAGAAGGCGGAGGAAGAACAACTCTTATTTAAGAAAACAACCTACAGTTCTATTCAAAATCATAAAATGGATGATTATATTTCATATAATTTGGATACCAAGTGTTGAATAATTCAAGATTGCACTTTTAGAATTCATTTTACCTTGGGATTACTAATAGGATTCTAGCATCTGCTATTGATATTGCAACAATATAGGATTCAGAATTGCTAAACAACTTCCTCTTTATAAAAATGACTAACCTTAAAATACAGTCTGATTTACAACCAGTAATCTGAAGACCAATTTTAACTCATACTTTCTACCTTCTGAAAGCCTTTTACACTAATTAAATAAACATCAAATGTTAGTACTAACCAACAATAACCATGAATGCCTCACTCAGACTAAAAGCCTAAATCCTTACCTGTAAAAACCACACAGACTCCCCTCCACACCCTTTGTTGCTCCTTATCCAGACTTATACCGAAATAATCCTAAATATGTATTAGATAGCTAATACACTTGTTTTGTATGGTCCTTCACAGTAGATGAGTTACTGCAGTCTCATCTATACAGCTTACATTTTCTTCTTCTTTTTTTTTTTTTTTTTTTTTGAGACAGAGTCTCGCGCTGTTGCCCAGGCTGGAGTGCAGTGGCGCGATCTCGGCTCACTGCAACCTCTGCCTCCTGGGTTCAAGCGATTCTTCTTGCCTCAGCCTCCCAAGTGGCTGGGACTATAGGTGTGCACCACCATGCCCGGCTAATTTTTGTATTTTTAGTAGAGACGGGGTTTCACTATGTTGGCCAGGCTGGTCTTGAACTCCTGACCTCGTGATCCACCCGCCTCGGCCTCCCAAAGTGCTGTGATTACAGGTGTGAGCCACCGCGTCCAGCTCCAGCTTACATTTTCAATAGAAGTCAAGAAAGGAAGACAGAGGAAACTTAAACTCTGTGATTCATTCAAAATATATTTGCTGAGTATCTATATATGCCCAGTATTGTGTTATGTGCTAGTGATATAATGTAGCACAGGATCAGACGCGGTGGCTCATGCCTGTAATCCCAGCACTTTGGGAGACCAAGGCGGGCGGATCACTTGAGGTCAGGAGTTGGAGACCAACCTGGCCAACACAGTGAAACCCCGTCTCTACTAAAAATACAAAAATTAGCCGGGCATGGTGGTGTATGCTTGTAATCTCAGCCACTCAGGAGGCGGAGGCAGGAGGATCGCTTGAGCCCAGGAGGCGGAGGTTGCAGTGAGCCAAGATCATGCCACTGCACTCCAGCCCTGGGCAACAGAGTTACTCCAGCTCAAAAAAATAATAATAAATGTACCACAGGTTGAGTATCCCTTATCTAAAATGCTTGGGACCAAAAACATTCTGGATTTCAGATTTTGGAATATTTGCATACACATAATGAGACATCCTGGAAATGTAACCCAAGTCTATTAAACACAAAATTTATTTATGTTTCATTCACAGGCACATCTTGTTTTAATGCACTTCAGTTACTGTGTTTTTAACAAATTGAAGGTTCATCAAGCAAGTCTATCAGTGCCATTTTTCCAACATCATGTGCTCACTTGATGTCTCTGTGTCATATTTCGGTAATTCTCACAGTATTTCTTCTTTTTTTTTTTTTTTTTTTTTTGGACATAGAGTCTCGCTCTGTCACCCAGACTGGAGTGCAGTGGCACAATCTCAGCTCACTGCAACCTCCACCTCCTAGGTTTGAGAGATTCTCATGCCTCAGCCTCCCAAATAGCTGCAACTACAGGCAAATGCCACCATGTCTGGCTAATTTTTGTATTCTTTTAGTAGATACAGGTTTTCACCACGTGGACCAGGCTGGTCTCAAACTCCTGACCTCAAGTGATCCACCCATCTCAGCCTCCCAAAGTGACAGGATAAAGGCGTGAGCCACCGCGCCTGGCCAGTTTTTTTCATTATTACTATATTTGTTATGGTGATCTGTGATCAGTGATCTTTGGTTTTTCTATTATAATTGTTTTGGGGCACCACGAATTGTGCCCATATGAGAAAGCAAGCTTAATAAACGTTGTGTGTGTTCTGACTGCTCCACCAACTGCCAGTTCCTGTCTGTCTCCCTGATTCTCAGGACTCCCAATTATCCTGAGACACAACAATACTGAAATTAAGTCAAATAATAACCCTAGAATGGCCTCTAAATGTTCAAGTGGTCTCACTTTAAATCAAACGCTAGAAACGATTAAGATTAGTGGACACCTGGCCAAGAAATTTTAAAAGTTAGCCAGGCGCAATGGCGTGCACCTGTAGTCCCAACTACTTGGGAGGCTGAGGCAGGAGGATCACCTAAGCCCAGGAGGCTGAGGCTGCAGTGAGCTATAACCACACCACTGCACTCCAGTCTAGGTGACAGAGCAAGACCCTGTCTGTAAAGAAAAAAATAGGCCGGGCGCGGTGGCTCACGCCTGTAATCCCAGCACTTTGGGAGGCCGAGGCGGGCGGATCACGAGGTCAGGAGATCGAGACCATCCCGGCTAAAACGGTGAAACCCCGTCTCTACTAAAAATACAAAAAATTAGCCGGGCGTAGTGGCGGGCGCCTGTAGTCCCAGCTACTTGGGAGGCTGAGGCAGGAGAATGGCGTGAATCCGGGAGGCAGAGCTTGCAGTGAGCCGAGATCCCGCCACTGCACTCCAGCCTGGGCGACAGAGCGAGACTCCGTCTCAAAAAAAAAAAAAAAAAAATTAAAGAACAGGCCGGGGGCAATGGCTCATGCCTGTAATCCCAGCACTTTGGGAGGCTGAAGTGGGTAGATCATGAGATCAGCAGTTCAAGACCAGCCTGGCCAACATGGTGACACCCCACCACTACTAAAATACAAAAATTAACTAGGCATGGTGGCATGTGCCTATAATTCCAGGTACTCAGGAGGCTGAGGCACAAGAATCACTTGAACCTGGGAGGCAGAGGTTGCAGTCAGCTGAGATTATGCCACTGCACTCCAGCCTGGGAGACACAACAAGACTCCGTCTCAAAAAAATAAAAATAAAAATAAAAATTAATTAATTAATAATAATAGGGCCGGGCACGGTCGCTCACACCTGTAATCCCAGCACTTTGGGAGGCCAAGGCAGGCAGATCACGAGGTCAAGAGTTCAAGACCAGCCTGGCCAACATGGTGAAACCCAGTCTCTACTAAGAATACAAAAATTAGGCTGGGCGAGGTGGCTCACGCCTGTAATCTCAGCACTTTGGGAGGCCGAGGTGGGCAGATCACGAGGTCAGGAGTTTGAAAACAGCCTGACCAACATGGTGAAACCCTGTCTCTACTAAAATACAAAAATTAGCCAGATGTCGTGGCGCATGCGTGTAGTCCCAGCTACTCAGGATGCTGAGGCAGGAGAATTGCTTGAACCCGGGAGGCAGAGGTTGCAGTGAGCCAAATTTGCACCACTGCACTCCAGCCTAGGACTACCATGAGAATGGTGTGACACCATATATGTTTTTCTTTAAGGATGGTTTAGAGATGGAAAAATGTTAACAAATTTGGCAATTACTTTGGATCACCTGCCGTCATAACTGGCTGCTGCTTGTCATTCACACAACACCAGAACTTAAAACAAATGGAACTGATGTCATCTTGAACTCTTCATTTATTTTGATTTGGAATGGAGGCATTGTTTTTAAAAAAAAAACACGTCACATAGTTGTCTAAAAATAAAATACATTTAATTGGCCAGGCGCTGTGGCTCACGCCTGTAATCCCAGCAGCTTGGGAGGCCGAGGTGGGCGGATCACGAGGTCAGGAGATTGAGACCATCCTGGCTAACACGGTGAAACCCCGTCTCTACTAAAAATACAAAAAATTAGCCGGGCGTGGTGGCATGCACCAGTAGTCCCAGCTACTCGGGAGGCTGAGGCAGAAGAATGGCATGAACCCGGGAGGCGGAGCTTGCAGTGAGCCGAGATTGCGCCACTACACTCCAGTCTCGGCGACAGAGCGAGATTCCGTCTCAAAAAAAAAAAAAATTACATTTAACCTCAAATTAAATAAATAAAAGGACACTGTAATATAACATCTTCACAATACCCAAAATGAGTTTCAAAGGCCTGTTACTTATAGCATACCTATTCAAAGTGGGAGAGAGGGGACCTCACCATCTTGCTCAGGCTGGTCTCAAAACTCCTGGACTCAAGCAATCCTCCTGCCTCGGCCTCCCAAAATGTTGGGATTACAGAAGTTAAGTCACTGCACCCAGCGCTTAAAACTTTTTCAGAATCTTCTTATATACAAATGAGCAAATTTCTATCTTACATATTATGGCTAATGTAACTAACTTAGAACATTGTTGGCCAGGCGTGGTAACTCACACCTGTATTCCCAGCACTTTGGGAGGCTGAGAAGGGTGGATCACCTGAGGTCAGGAGTTTAGGACCAGCCTGGCCAACATGGTGAAACCTCGTCTCTACCAAAAATACAAAAATTAGCTGAGCATGGTGGTGCGCCTGTAATCCCAGCTACTCAGGTGGCTGAGGTGGGAGAATTGCTTGAACCTGGGAGGCAGAGGCTGCAGTAAGCTGAGATTGTGCCACTGCACTCCAGCCTGGGCAACAGAGCAAGACCCTGTCTCAAAAAAAACAAAAAAGAACACTGTCAAGGCAGTTAAAACTAAGTATCACCTTGAACATTTCAAAATAAATAATAAAGAATTCAGAGAACATCTGGCTCTGAACAGTGTCAGTCTCCAAATTAAACTAATTGTAAAAATGTGCACCCAGCAACTTAGACGTAATTATTTAGGTTATAATTTATCTATTTAAATCACTCTTAGATGATGCAGCTATATCATTTTCCTGATAATGATGTCTTCGCCATTCCAACAGAGAAAATGTTTGAATCCAGCTCATTTAAAAATAGTATGAGGCTGGACGTGTTGGCTCACGTCTGTAATCCCAGCACTTTGGGAGGCCGAGGAGGGCAGATCACGAGGTCAGGAGGTCGAGACCATCCTGGCTAACATGGTGAAACCCCGCCTCTACTAAAAATACAAAAAAACTAGCCGGGCATGGTGGCAGGCGCCTGTAGTCCCAGCTACTCGGGAGGCTGAGGCAGGAGAATGGCGTGAACTCGGGAGGCAGAGCTTGCAGTGACCCGAGATCTCACCACTGCACTCCAGCCTGGGCGACAGAGCAAGACTTCGTCAAAAAAAAAAAAAAAAAATTTAGCCAGGTGTAGTGGTGCGTGCCTGTAATCCCAGCTACTCGGGACTCTGAGACAGGAGAATCACCTCTGCCCAGGAGGCAGAGGTTGCAGTGAGCCTGGCTGACAGAGGGAGACTGTCTCACGGGGGCTGGGGGGTGGGGGAAAGGTTAAAAATAAGAGAAACTGAATGCAGGGTATGTAAGAACTCACTGTACTATTCTCACAGTTCTTCTGTGTATCTGAAACTCTTCTAAAAAGGTTTATTTAAAAACAAAAATCCTATCACAGTCATATTGCTTCCCCAATAGCCATGCCATATGGCTTAGAGGCTGAAGAGGGTAGCAGGCAACACAATACCCTCGTCTGTGCCACTGCTGCACCTGCAAGAGTTAAATATAAACCAAACTGGATAACGAGAATTTTGTTGTATCCATTTGGCAAATGCTCAGGGCAGAAGAAGAGCAAAGGTGTCATCCTAAGGGAGAGATGTAGAAATAACCAGAGAAGATAGCAAAAATACAGTATTTTCCTAGGGGAACTATCATACCATAAATGTTCACAGCAGTCTGAAAATCAGAAATTATTCTGAGCTTTGTCAGTGCCAAGTAAAAGAAGAAAAAAGAATGAACAGAAAAAAGAAATTAGCACAGCCTAAAGTACTAATGAGGATAATATAAACCTTACGCACTGCTAAATACAAAAAAATAGGGAAATACAATCCTCTGTTTACCTAGGGTGAAAGAGTATCAAGGAAGACCTCGGAATAACACTCCTCTCTCTATATAAACCTTAAATAAGTAATTTAGTTTTAGAATCCTAAAGCCCAAAAGATGGCAAACAGACTCAAAATACCAGATGCGGCCATCACCAATAGTTATTAGTTCCCCTTCCAAAAGTTACAAAGACTTCAGAGTTTAACAGACAGTGTGCAGTGGTATAAAATGCGGTGGTCTTGGCCAGGTGCAGTGGCTCACGCCTGCAATCCCAGCACTTCGAAAGGCTGAGGCGGGTGAGGTGAGGAGTTAGAGACCAGCCTGGCCAACATGGTGAAACTCCGTCTTTTAAATATATTTGACACATCCTCAAAAAAAGTGACAAAATCAAAGGATCATATGACCCCACAGGCTCCCCAGGACCTAAGTAGAAAAGGGATCATCGTATCAACATTAATTTTATATTCATTCTCTATGTAGATCTAATTTAAACATTGTTTTTCTAAGAGGGGGTCTTGCTGTGTCAACCAGGCTGGAGGGCAGTGATGCACTCATGGCTCACTGCAGCCTCCAACTCCCGGGCTCAAGCGATCCTCCTGTCTTAGTCTCCCAAAGTGCTGGGATTACAGGCGTGAGCCACTGCACCAGGCCTAAACTTTGTTAAATGACAAGTTTGAAGATTAATGAAGTCTAGCTGTCTTGGTTCTGCTATTGCAAATAAGTGAAACTTAGTATTCTCTTTTGGAAACTACGGTCAGAAAGCTGGGTAGGAAATTTAAGGCTGCTAGGGCAGAGGACCAGACAGGAACTTCAGAGATGTGGGAGGAAAAGCCAAGAAGAAAACAATGTTAATTTTTGTAGTAATTTTTTAAATTATACAGAAAAGCTATAGTCATGACAGAGTTGTTCATTAAAGAAAATACTTCAGGGGTGGGCGTGGTGGCTGTATTATAGATAATACAGCTAGATCATTTTCCTGATAATGACATTTTCACCATTCCTACAGAGAAAATGTTTGAATCCAGCTCATTCAAAAATATTTTGTATGAGGCCGGGCATGGTGGCTCACCCCTGTAATCCCAGCACTTTGGGAGGCCGAGGCGGGCAGACTGCCTGAGCTCAGGAGTTCAAGATCAGCCTGGGCAACACGGAGAAACCCCGTCTCTACTAAAATACAAAAATCAGCCGGGTGTGGCCGGGTACACTGGCTCACGCCTGTAATCCCAGCACTTTAGGAGGGTGAGACGGACGGATCACGAGGTCAGGAGATCGAGACCATCCTGGCCAACACAGTGAAACCCCGTCTCTACTAAAAATACAAAAAATTAGCCAGGTGTGGTGGCGGGCGCCTGTAGTCCCACGTACCCAGGAGGTTGAGGCAGGAGAATTGCTTGAACCCAGGAGGCGGAGGCTGCGGTGAGCCGAGATCACGCCACTGCACTCCAGCCTGGGCGACAGAGTGAGACTCCATCTCGAAAACAACAACAACAACAACAAAAACTTTGAAAGAAAAATAAGGACCTTGATGAGACACTGAAGGTGTCTCAACAAGTGTCACTTGCTTAAACAAGTAAATGGAAAAGAAAAATATGTAAGAAGGGGGAAGAATGTGTATAATATTGTGGTGAAGTAGCTATATTGTATTACCAACTAATATAAACTAGTGTCGATCAACGAAACCCCATATATATATAGAGTTTCGTTGATATATATATATATACACACACACACACACACACACATATAATGTCACACCCCAGCATTTTTTTTTTTTTAGACAGAGTCTTGTTCTGTCACCAGGCTGGAGTGTAGTGGCGATCTTGGCTCACTGCAACCTCGGTTCAAGAGGTTCTTGAACACCTGGGTTCAAGCGATTCTCTTGCCTCAGCCTCCCGAGTAGCTGGCACTACAGGCACGTGCCACCACACCCGGCTAATTTTTGTATTTTTAGTAGAGACGGGTTTCACTGTGTTGGCCAGGATGGTCTCGATCTCCTGACCTCGTGATCCACCTGCCTCGGCCTCCCAAAGTGCTGGGAATACAGGCGTGAGCCACCGTGCCCGGTCAAATTTTTTTTTTTTTTTTTTTTTTTGAGACAGAGTCTCACTCAGTCACCCAGGCTGGAATGCAGTGGCGTGATCTCAGCTCACTGCAACCTCTGCCTTCTGGGTTCAAGAGATTCTCCTGCCTTGGCCTCCCAAAGTGCTGGGATTACAGGTGTGAGTCACTGCACCTGGCCTACCCCAGCATTTTTAAGGTCTTCCACAAACGTCAACCTTTCCAGATAGTTTTCCCACTAGTTCAGTTTATCATATACTCCAACTACACAACTTCTTTCAGCATAAACTTTGTCTTGCTTGTTCTTTTCCCTCAGCCTTAAATATTTTCCTTTTTCTGTGTGTCAAATTTGACAGATCTTTTAAAGGTCAAGCACAAGTGCCATGAACTCCTCCTCAAAGCCCTCCATGAACCAGACTGGTAGAAGCCAGCTTCTCTTGACTTTTTCTGTAATAACAACCCTAAAGCAGCTGTATTATGGAACTTTTATTTTTCTACAGACTACAAGTTCCTGAAACACCAAAACAGCATCCCAATAGTACACAAAATGGGCATCAAACTTGCTGATTTAAGAGACAGCATTAGATCTGCATAAATGAGCTTCACTCCACAGATCAAAGAACCCTCCGAAATTACATACCAAATTATGCATGTGTGCTTTTCTCAGGAGGTCTTTTAACTCTTGCTAGATTCTCAAAGGAAACTAAGAACTCCCAAAAGAAAAAAAATAAACTCTGAGAAGGCTGAGAAGGAAAGGGCTCGAGTTTTATCAGAAAATAAAACTGTTTCTACTAGCCAGCTCCATCAGCATTTAGGAGGGTTAGATTGGAGAAATTACCCAATTTCTTTATTTTCTTCAAATATTTGGCTGGGGCAAAGATTTGACACATGGTTCAAGGTGGGAGGATTGCTTGAACCCAGTAGTTCAAGACCAGCCTGGGCAACGTGGCAAAACCCTGTCTCTACCAAAAAAAAATTTTTTTTAATTTGCTGAGCATGGTGGCGCGTGCCTGTAGTCCCAGCTACGGAGGCAGATAAGGTGGGAGGTTCACTTGGGTCTGGGAGATTGAGGCTGCAGTAGGCCATCATCACATCCCTGCACTCCAGCCTGGGTGACAGAGCAAGACTTTATCAAAAGGAAAAATTAGCCAGGTGTGGTGGTGCATGCCTATAGTCCCAGCTATAGGGAGGGAGGGAGGAGGATTGCTTGAGCCGAGGAAGTGGAGGGTGCAGCGGGCCTTGATGTTGCCACTGCACTCTAGTCCGGACAACAGAGCAAGACCCTGTCTCAAAACAAAACAAAGATTTGATGTGATTTGCCTCACAAGCAACTGGGACTACAGGCATGTGCAACCACGACCAGCTAATTTTTGTATTCTTAGTAGAAATGGGGTTTCACCATGTTGGCCATGGCTTATCTCAAACTCCTGACCTCAGGTGATCCACCTGCCTCGGCCTCCCAAAGTTCTGGGATTACAGGCGTGAGTCACTCTGGGATTACAGGCATGAGTCACTAAGCCCGGCCTGCCAGACTATTTCCTTAGAAATTCATTTACTGGCTGGGAGCGATGGCTCAAGCCTATAATCCCAGCACTTTGGGAGGCCGAGGCGGGTGTATCACCTGAGGTCAGGAGTTTAAGACTAGCCATGGCCAGCATGGTGAAACAACATTTCTACTAAAAATACAAAAATTAGCCGGTTGTGGTGGCACACGCCTGTAGTCCCAGCTACTTCTGAGGCTGAGGCGGGAGAATCGCTTGAACCTGGGAGGCCGAGGTTGCGGTGGGCTGAGATCGTGCCACTACACTCCAGCCTGGGCAACAAGAGTGAAACTCCATCTCAAAAAAAAAAAAGAAAAAAAAAATTCATTTACTACTGGCTGCTCTGCCTATGGAGTAGCCATTCTTTTTTTTTTTTTCTGAGACGGAATTTCTTGTTCCCCAGGCTGGAGTGCAGTGGCATGATCTCAGCTCGCTGCAACCTCCACCTCGCGGGTTCAAGCGATTCTCCCGCCTCAGCCTCCTGAGTAGCTGGGATTACAGGTGTGCACCACCACACCCAGCTAATTTTGTATTTCTAGTAGAGATGGGGTTTCTCCATGTTGGTCAGGCTGGTCTCAAACTCCCAACCTCAGGTGATCCGCCCGCCTCGGCCTCCCAAAGTACTGGGATTACAGACGAGAGCCACTGCACCTGGCAGAGTAGCCAGTCTTTATTCCTTTACTTTCTTAATAAACTTGTTTCACTTTAAAAAAAAAAAAAAAAAAAAAAAAGGCCAGGCACGGTGGCTTACGCCTGTAATCCCAGCACTTTGGGAGGCTGAAGCGGGCAGATCACCTGAGGTCAGGAGTTCGAGAACAGCCTGACCAACGTGGAGAAACCCCGTCTCTACTAAAAAATACAAAAAACTAGCTGTGCCTGGTGGCACACGCCTGTAACCCCAGCTACTCGGGAGGCTGAGGCAGGAGAATCGCTTGAACCCAGGAGGCAGAGGTTGCAGTGAGCCGAGATGGTGCTACTGCACTTCAGCCTGGGCGACAAGAGCGAAACTGTCTCAAAAAAAAAATTAAATAAATAAATAAATAAAAAACGTTGTTTACATAGTGCTACTAAATGTAGCACCTCAAGGTAGGGATATCACATCAATTACCTTTGCGTTCCCGCAGCATCTCAATACAACGGCATATAAGGGCTCAATAAATAAACTTTTATGCTGATCCTTTATTCCATTTTCCAAGCAACCACACAAGTTTAAATGAAGACTGCTATTTAAAATTAGGATGGTAGCTGTGCGTGGTGGCTCATGCCTGTAATCCCAGCACTCTGGGAGGCCAAGCCAAGAGGATTGCTTGAGTCCAGGAGTTCAAGACCAGCCTGAGCAACACAGCAAGACTTTGTCTCAAAAATAATAACAAAAAAATAAAATTAAGACGGAATTTCTGTCTTAAACTACAGGTTTCTCTATTTCAACTTCCTGTTCCTTGAACATGTTAATAGAGCAACCATGTAGTTGTATTTATAACTACAAATATTAAGTTCTTTATTTGAAAAAGGATTGATAATAATGCATGGTTACAGGTGACTTTTTTTAAAAACTTCTTATTCTGAAATACAGTCCCATAGGACAAGGGGGAACTGTACAGAAAGGTTTCCTGTAACCTTTACCCAGTTTCTCCCAAATGCTAACACCCTGTATAACTCTAGCACAATATCAAACCCAAGAAATCGACAGTGGTGCAATCCATATACTTTATAGTCCCCCCACCCCTGCCCCATCGGCATTTTCAATTACTTGTGGTCAAGCCCAGTCTGAAAATATTAAATGGAAAATAACAGAAAAAATAAACAATTCCTAAGTTGTAAATTTTGTGTTGTTCTAAGTAGCATGATGAAATCTCACACTGTCCCTCCTGCCTATCACTTAGCAGTGCCTGGTTTCAAGTAACCCTTATTTTACTTAATAATGGCCCCAGAGTGCAAGAGTAGTAATGCCGGCATATTGTTATCATTGCTCTGTGTTATTATTGTTGTTAGACTAACATAAATTAAATCCTATCATAGGTATGCATATATAGGAGAAAGCACAAGGTTCAGGACTATCAGTGGTTTCAGGCATCCCCTGGAGGTCTTGGAAAGTATTTATCCCATGCAGATAAGGGAGGACTACTGTATTCAGATGTCATCACTCGGTTGTGTGTGTGTGTGTGTGGGGGGGGGGGGTGGGTGTATAACTCTATGCAATTTTATCACATTTGCAGATGTGTGTAATCACTATCAAGATACAAGACTGTTCATCACCACAAAGATCCCTCATGTTACTGTATACCACATATCCCTCATGTCCCTAAATCCCTGAACACCACTATTCTCCATCACTGTAATTCTGTCATTTCAAGAATTTTATACAAAGGTGCCAAGACCACCCATAAAGAAGGACAATCTAGCCAAGATCCCACCACTGCACTCCAGCCTGGGCAACAAGAGCGGAACTCTGTCTCAAAAAAAACAAAAAAAATAGACTGGATGTGGTGGCTCACACCTGTAATCCCAACATTCTGGGAGGCCAAGACAGGAGGACTGCTTGAGCCCAGGAGTTCAAAACCAGCCTGGGCAACACAGCAAGACCCCATCTCTATTTTTATAAAAAATTTTTAAAAGATATATGTAGACACAAAGAGAGAGAGACCCTGTCTCTTAAAAAAGAAAAAAAAAAGCAAGCTGTTTTCTATCTATAGTGGATATACAATTATACATTCCCACCAGCAATGTATAAAAGTTCAAGTTTCTCCAAGTCCCTGGCAGCATTTAGTGTTACAGTTTTTTTAATTTTAACTATTCTAACAGGTAAGTAGTGATATCTTACGGTGATTTCAATTTGCATTTCCCTGATGTCTAATAATGTTGAACATGTTGTCACTTGTTTGCTATTTGTATGTCCTCTTCAGTGAAATGTTTCTTGGTGTCTTTTGCCCTTATTTTTTAGGCAGGGCCTTGCTCTGTGGCCCAGGCTGGAGTGTAGCGGTGGTGAAGTCACAGCTCACTGCCGCCTCAAAATCCCCATCTCAAGCGATGCTCCTATTCAAGCCTCCCTAGTAGCTGAAACTACAGATGAGAGCCACCACACCTGTCTAATTTTGCCCATTTTTTTGAATTGACTTTTTTTTTTTAAACTGTTGAGGGTTCTTTAAATATTCTAGATACAATCAGTTGCCAGATATGTGATTTGCAAATGTTCTTCCAGTTTGTAGCTTGTCTTTGCATCCTCTTAACAGTCTTTAATCAGGTAAAAATTCTTAATTTTCATGATGTCCAGTTTACTAATATTTCCTTTTATGGCTCATGCTTTTGGCATCAAGTTGAAAAAGAACTTGGCTGGGCGCGTGGCTCACGCCTGTAATCCCAGCACTTTGGGAGGCTGAAGCAGGTGGATCACCTGAGGTCAGGAGTTCAAGACCAGCCTGACTAATATAGAGAAACCCTGTCTCTATTAAAAATACAAAATTAGCTGGGTGTGGTGGCCCATGCCTGTAATCTCAGCTACTCGGGAGGCTGCAGTGGGAGAATCGCTTGAACCCAGGTGGCAAGAAGTTGCGGTGAGCCGAGATCGTGCCACTGCACTTAAGCCTGGGCAACAAGAGCGAAACTCCATCTCAAAAAAATAAAATTAAAAAAAAAAAAGGAAAAAGAACTCTTTGCCTAGCATTACTCTGTCTTAACATAGAAACCCTAGAAAATATATACCTTACATAAGAATATGATAATGTAATTAAAATGCATGTACATTCAAAAGCAAAGGAAAAGTGTCTCCTGACATAAAGAACTTTTTTAAAAATTCCTATTTGATAAAAGGAAAAGTGTCTCCTGACATAAAGAACTTTTTTAAAAATTCCTATTTGATAAACTTACTTAAAAGCAGTCTTGTTTTACAAGATTAAAGCAAACAAACAACAAACAGCTGCCAGGTAAAAATTTAAGGTCTTTGTTTTTTGTATTTTTAACATATCCCTAGCCAATAGAAGAGTAAATAAGAATAGCTAAAGGAAAAAAAGCAAAGATACAGCAATAGCAGTTTTTCTAAGTCACTGGACATGGGTATAAAGGTTAAATAAAAGGTAAAATAAAATATTTCCGCTTACAAAAATTAACTTGTTGCAAATCTAGAACATAACTTTATAAAAAGAGGTATACATCTCTACAGCAACAGCAATACAGTACAGTATTTCTTCCAGAAGTTTCTATGAGGGCCAGAATCTATCAATGGAACAGCACTGATAAAAACTTCTGATTAGACCGGGCGCGATGGCTCACGCCTGTAATCCCAACACTTTGGGAGGCCAAGGCAGGCCAAGGAGACCATCCTGGCCAACATGGTGAAACTCCATCTCTACTAAAAATACAAAAATGATCCAGGGGTGGTGGCGTGTGCCTGTAGTCCCAGCTACTCAGAAGGCTGAGGCAGGAGAATCACTTGAACCCGGGAGGCAGAGGCTGCAGTGAGCCAAGATCTCGCCACTATACTCCAGCCTGGGCGACAGAACAAGGCTCCATCTCAAAAAAAAAAAAAAAACAAACAAAAAAAAACTGCTGATTAACTCAAATTAGCCCAATACTATCTTGCACTAGGGGGAAAAAGTTTAGAATGTTTTATTGTAACATTTAAATATCTTATTTCCTGAAACTACATTTTATTCTTTATCATTTATCTGTTTATACCAATAATTCATATTCATTACCAAAATTTGGAAAATGTTTGCTTTTTCTGATTTGTACTTTTCTGTACCTGAAATGCTATTAACCATATAAAACTACACTATGTTTACCTTGCCAGATTTGTTTCCATAAGCCCACACTTCCTTCTCTGAAAAGTTATTTCCTACAAACCAATGAAAGGTAACATTAGACACACCCTTAGAGGTCATCTAAATTCTAACAAAAATTTAAATCTAAAAAAAAGGTTTCAATAATTAAGAAATGCCAAATTATTTATCCTAAATCAAACTGATCTCATTAAAAGAGTGCTTAATTAATACTTTACTTGCTTAAAGCAAAGGAATGCCCACACTGTACCCTCCTGCCAACAAAAAAATTGTACTGAAGTACCCAAGACCAAAAGAGGCGAAGGATTGAAACTCATCTTGACAGTGCAATCAAACATTCTTCACCTGAGAAAAGGAAGTCAAAAGGCAACAATATAATGATAGTCACTGGATTATCAGATTTTCCACCCTAGATCCACTCTATTAAATAATGATAAATGCACCTAATTTCACAACTATATATGGAAATATCACAACATATAATGTGTATTAACAAACTATATAATAAAACTGGCCCGGCGCAGTGGCTCACGCCTGTAATCCCAGCACTTTGGGAGGCTGAGGCGGGCAGATCGCCTAAGACCGGGAGTTCAAGACCAGCCTGACCAACATGGAGAAACCCCATCTCTACTAAAAATACAAAATTAGCCAGGTGTAGTGGCACATGCCTGTAATCCCAGCTACTGGGGAGGCTGAGGTAGGAGAATCACTTGAACCTGGGGAGGCGGAGGTTGTGGTGAGCCTAGATCATGCCATTGCACTACAGCCTGGGCAACAAGAGTGAAGCTCCGTCTCAAAAAATATACATCTATGCAATAGACGGGCTGGGCGCAGTGGCTCCTGCCTGTAAATCCCACCACTTTGGAAGGCCAAGGTGGGCAGATCACCTGAGGTCAGGAGTTCAAGATCGGCCTGGCCACCACGGCGAAACCCTGTCTCAACTAAAACTACAAAAATTAGCTGGGCGTGGTGGTGGACACCTGTAATCTCAGCTACTTGGGAGGCTAAAGCAGGAGAATCACTTGAACTCAGGAGGCGGAGGTTGCAGTGAACCAAGATCGCACCACTGCACTCCAGACTGGGTGACAGAACAAGACTCTGTGTTGGGAAAAAAAAAATGCAATAGAGGCCAGGGGTGGTGGCTCACGCCAGTAATCCCAGCACTTTGGGAGGCCAAGGTGGGCAGATCACTTGAGGTCAGGAGTTCAAGACCAGCCTGGCCAACATGGTGAAACCCCATCTCTACTAAAAATACAAAAATTAGCTGGGCATGGTGGCCAGCACCTGTAAGCCCAGCTACTACAGAGACTGAGGCAAGATAATCCCTTGAATCCAGGAGGGAGAGATTGCAGTGAGCTGAGATTATACCACTGCACTCCAGCCTGGGTGACAGAGTGAGACTCCGTCTCAAAAAAATAAAAATAAAATAAAATAAATATATAAAGTACTCAGCACAGTGCCTGGTACATGTTAGTCCTCAGTAAACGTTAGCCTATATAAACATACATACAAGAACCTCTCTGAAAAGACACATTTGTCAGCCAGGCATGATGGCTCATGCCTGTAATTCCAGCACTTTCGTAAGCTGAGGCGGGTGAATCACCTGAGATCAGGAGTTCAAGACCAGCCTGGCCAACATGGCAAAAACCCTGTCTCTACTAAAAATACAAAAAATAAGCCTGGGCATCGTGGCACACACCTGTAATCCCAGCTACTTGGGAGGCTGAGGCACAAGAAACGCTTGAACCCGCGAGGCGGAGGTTGCACTTAGCGGAGATCGTGCCACTGCATTCCAGCCTGGGCCACTGCAATCCAGCCTGGGCGACAGAGCAAGACTGTCTCAAAAAAAAAAAAAAAAAAAAAAGACATATTTGTCAATGATGGGTTGCTTCCACAAAAAGAACTTATGGCCAGGGTGAAAAGACTATGTTTTTTTGTACTCTTTGCATTTTTAACCAATGCTTATAATACCTTTTCAAAAGATAAAATGTTTTAAAAGTATCTCCTGTGCTGAGGGATTTTTTAGTGTTTAACATAAGGCACTGCAAAACTTGAATTGCCACCGCTCAATTTGCAAAGGAGTAAGTCATAGTCTAATAATATCCACAGAGAAATACACAACCTATCTGATTTCATGAATCTGTTAGGTGTCTTTATTTGCTTAACAATTAGCCATAATGGTCTTCTCTGAAACATTTTAACTCAGTAATCTTCAATCTGGGATGATTTTGTCCCTCAGGAGACATTTGGCAATGGAGACATTTATGGTTGTCACAACTAAGGGAGTATGCTACTGGCATCTAGTGGGTGAAGGCCACGAATGCTGCTGAACATTCTATCTATAATGCACAGAATAGGCCCTACAACAATACTCAACCCAAAACGTCAGTAGCGCCAAGACTGAGACACTCCACAACCCAAGGAACCATTTTGTTCAATTCTGAAAGTAACCAGATTCTTCATTATGTTATCAACAAAACATACCCGATATATTCTACCAAGTAATTAATTTAAATCCTTAAGGATTGACAGACTAGAGGTTCAATAAATGTAGCCATTGTTGTTTTAAGTTTTTGGAAATTTTATACAAAAATTAGCCTGGCGTGGTAGTACATGCCTGTAATCTCAGCTACTGGGGGCCGCAGGGGGCAGCAGAATCGCTTGAACCTGGGAGGCGGAGGTTGCAGTGAACTGAGATTATGTCACTGCGCTCCAGTCTGGGTGAAAGGTGGTGGTGGCTCACACTTGTAATTCCAGCACTTTGGGAGGCCGAGGTGGGTGGATCACCTGAAGTCAGGAGTTCGAGACCAGCCTGGCCAACATGGTGAAACCCTGTCTCTACTAAAAATACAAAAATTGGCCAGACACAGTGGAGGGCTTCTGTAATCCCAGCAACTCTGAGGCCGAGGCAGGAGAATCACTTGAACCCAGAGGCAGAAGTTGTCGTCAGCCAAGATCTCGCCACTGCACCCCAGTTTGGGCAACAAAGTAAAACTCTGTCTCAAAAATAAAATAAAACAAGGCTTTTATTTCACTGTGTGTAGTTATCGAATCTTTCCAATAAATTTGATATGTTTACATTTCAATTAAAATTCATTTGCCTTGCCCTACTACTTTGTACATTTTGAGCATGTTAATTAACATGCTTCAAATTTTAAAAAAAAATTAAAAACAATCCCATTGTTTCTGATCAAGAAGGCAGGAAAACTTAAATCTGCAGCTAAGTAACTTTACAATGAGGCCTGAAAAAATACAAATTAAATTGTTCTCTCCTCTATCTTAAAGTGTATTTTAGTATGCCCCATCAGAAAGTCAATCATTAAGAAAGAGCTTTGGGACGTTTTATTAATATTTGCTATATACATTGTCAAAAAAAAGTGCAAAACGGAACCAGATGACCATCAAAATCTAGAGCTGGTTCACAAACGGATAGGAAATCCTTTCACACATTGCTGCTGCTGACATTGTTATCTTATTTTACTTTCTTAGTAATGCATAACTTCTTTCACACCTTTTAAATGTTTATCTTTTCCATTATGTAAGAATTCAGAGAGGCCGGGCCCGGTGGCTCACGTCTGTAATCCCAGCACTTTGGGAGGCTGAGACGGGCGGATCACGAGGTCAGGAGATCAAGACCATCCTGGCTAACACAGTGAAACCCCGTCTCTACTGAAAATACAAAAAATTAGCCGGGCGTGGTGGCGGGCGCCTGTAGTCCCAGCTACTCGGGAAGCTCAGGCAGGGGAATGGCGTGAACCCGGGAGGCGGAGCTTGCAGTGAGCCGAGATTGCGCCACTGCACTCCAGCTGGGCAACAGAGTAAGACTCCGTCTCAAAAAAAAAAAAAAAAAAAAAAAAAAAGATGCAGACGGGCACGGTGGCTCACGCCTGTAATCCCAATACTTTGGGAGGCCCAGGCAGGCGGATCACCAGGTCAGGAGTTCAAGACCAGCCTAGCCAGCACGGTAAAATCCCATCTCTACTAAAAATACAAAAAATTAGCCAAGCTTGGTGCCGCGCGCCTGTAATCCCAGCTACTCGGGAGGCTGAGGCAGGAGAATCACTTGAACCCAGGAGGCAGAGGTTGCAGTGAGCCGAGATCGCGCAACTCCACTCCAGCCTGGGCAATAGAGTGAGACTCTGCCTCAAAAAAAAAAAAAAAAATGCAATAAAGTTCTTTTTTTTTTTTTTTGAGACACAGTCTCGCTCTGTCGCCCAGGCTGGAGTGCAGTGGCGCCATCTCGGCTCACTGCACATCCGCCTCCCGGGTTCACGCCATTCTCCTGCCTCAGCCTCCCGATTAGCTGGGACTACAGGCGCCCGCCACCACGCCCGGCTAATTTTTGGATTTTTAGTAGAGAAAGGGTTTCCCCGTGTTAGCCAGGATGGTCTCGATCTCCTGACCTCGTGATCCGCCCGCCTCGGCCTCCCAAAGTGCTGGGATTACAGGTGTGAGCCACCGCGCCCGGCCCTTCTTTTTTTTGAACAGAGTCTCGCTCTGTTGCCCAGGCTGGAAAGCAATGGCGCGATCTCAGCTCACTGCAACGATGCCTCCCGCGTTCAAGCAATTCTCCCGCCTCAGCCTCCTGAGTAGCTGGGATTACAGGCGCCCTCCGCCACGCCCGAATAATTTTTTGTATTTTTAGTAGTGACGGGGGTTTCACCACTTTGGCCAGGCTGGCCCTGAACTCCTGTCCTAAGGTGATCCGCCAGCCTCGGCCTCCCGAAGTGCTGGGATTACAGGCGTGAGCCAGCGCGCCCGGCCTCAGTGCTTTTCCAGCACATAATTTTTATGAGTATCCTGTAGTATCATTAGAACTTCTCCATTTACTGCAAGCTAACTCCCCCTGAGCATCTAGAACTTTAATACTTGTCCAAACCTGCTTGCTCATGGTCTAATAATAAACCCAATTATACAATCTGTAAGAACCCCTGACAACCTTTTCCTTAAGAAGCCATAAAGGTGATTTAACGAACACCTCAAACTCTTAGTAAATGTATTTCAAAAACAGATTTCATCACTCCAGTCTTTGGCTTCTGCTGAGGGCTAGAGGCTACTGGTTTTAGAGTGGGTAGGGGGAAGATCGCTTGAACTGAGAATGACACACGCCGGGTGTTGTACAGCAGGGGTAAGTGCTGGTTCATTTCTCTTTAAATCTGGCAGCACGTGGGGCTGCATTGTGAAGCCACCAACCCGCCTCCCCCCTTCCACTCCGCACACGGACGTCTCCACTGCGCATGCTCCGCGCACACAGTCCTAGCAGAGTAGGAGCCAACCCCCTAAAAAGTCAACCTGGAAGCCGCAAACGGCCGGAGGCCGGGACAATGGGGGAGGGGGGCCGCAGGCTCCTCGGGGAGGCCGACCCGGCCGCCGCCCCGGGCCAGAGCCTGCGGGCGCAGCTCCGGGGTTTGCAGGCCTGCGCAGCAGCCGGAATCGCGGCGAGCACAAAGCCCGGAGCCGGCCAGCGAGCGGCTCTCCCCGCGGCCCGCTCCTACCCTCCCCCAGCCGGGCGGCGCAGCCGGAGCCCGTGCCAGGCGGAGGCAGGCGAGGCGGCGATCCGCACTCCGCCAGGGTCTCCGGCACCCTCGCGCCCGCGTGGAGGCCGCCGAGGCCAGCGCTTTTGTTGTCGGCCCCAACTCCGCGGACCCAGCGCCGCCCGGGGAGAAGTTTTGTGCGCCTCACCTATCCCGCCAGGGCCGGTCCCTTCCGCCCGCCCTCAGACACCGAGCCGGGGACTCGCAGCCGCACTGGGTCCGGACGCTCCAGCCGGCCCCGAAGGTCCGGCGGCCCCGGCAGCACCTGAACCCGGGACCCGCCCCTCCAAGCTGGCGGCCCCGGCCTGGGGACCCGCACACAGCCCCTCCCCCGCAACGTCCTACAGAACGGTGGGGGAGGGGACCTCCTCCTCTCCGACCCCCCGGGCGCCAGGCCCAGTCCCTGGGCCGGAGCTGGGTCGCGTCCCCGCCCCCAGTGCCCTCCAAGAGCCGGGCGAGAACGGCTGGGCCCGGCCGGGACCGGAGCCTCGAGGTCCCCACCCTCGCAGGCCCGGGCCCCTTCGGCAGTACGGCCGCTGGCCCGGGAGGAGAAGAGGGACTGGGCTGCGGCTGTCCGCGATCGCGGCCGGGCCCGGCGCCCCGCCGCCCGCCTGCTCACCTGCCAGCTGTCTTCGCAGTAGCAGTGCCGACTGCAGCTCCGTCATCCTCCCTGCCGAGGGCCCGGGCTGGCGCCGGGGCTTCCGAAGGGCTGGGGACAGGCTCTGGGGGCGGCTGGAGCGGGGTGTGCCGAGGAACCCGGGCCCCGCGACCGGAGCGCCGGAGCCGAGGAAGGCCGGGCTGAGGCGGCGGGAGCGGCGCCTCGCTGCCGGTGCGAGTCCGCTCGCTTCAGCTCTTTTCACAGCGACTCACGCCCGGAAGGGGAGGGTGCCCGGGCTGCCGCGGCGCGCACTGGGACTTCGCTCGCCCGCTTCCCTCCTTCAACCCGCCCGTCGGCCCCACCGGTGCCTTCCCCCGCCACTGCCTCACTGCGCGCAGGGCCGCTCGGCGCAGGCGCGCTGAGACTGCCGACTTGGGAAGCGTCCCGCCCGCTAGCCCGACCCCTCGGCCTCCCGCCCCGCCCCCGGCGGCGGAACCCCGCCCCTTGAGCGCAGTTGTCCCGTCCGCCGCCATTTTGGGAAGGTCGACGCCCGGCTGCCAGCCCAAGCCTCCGCTGGTAGACGCCCCGCGGACGCCATGACAAAGAGGTCGCAGAGGGTCAAATACAGCCTCTGGATTGAAGCAGTGGATATAGGAGCGAAGAGGCCAGAAGAAGTGGTAGATGTCTAGTCCTTGGCGAGCGCCCAAAAGCCATCTAACACTGCCACATGGTGTGCGAAGTAGGAATTGTTAGAAAGCCGAAGTTAGTACTGGTGTGCCCCATTTTAACCAAACATCAAAATAGAGGCAATATATGATGATAACTCACTTTACATGAAGAGTGCACAAAAAAAGCCACCGCGTCCGGCCCTATTATTATTGAGCCACCGAGACCGGCCCTGTTATTATTATCATTTATGGACGGCAATTCTCTCTGTCGCCCAGGCTGGAGTGCAGTGATCATAGCTCACTGCAGCTTGGAACTCCTGGGCTTAAGGGATCCTCCCATCTGAGTCTCCTTAGTATCTGGGATTACAGGTACACACCACCATGCCCTGCTATTTTTTTATTTGCTTTATAGAGATCGGGGGGTTTGACGGGGCGCGGTGGCTCATGCTTGTAATCCCAGCACTTTGAGAGGCCGAGGTGGGCAGATCACCTGAGGTCACGAGTTCGAGACCATCCTGGCCAACATGGTGAAACCTGGTCTCTACTAAAAATACAAAAATTAGCCCAGCCTGGTGGCAGGCGCCTGTACTCCCAGCTACCAGGGAGGCTGAGAAAGGAGAATTGCTTGAACCTAGGAGGCAGAGATTGCAGTGAGCCGAGATGGTGCCACTGCACTCCAGCATGGCCGACAGAGAGAGACTCCGTCTCACAAAAAAAAAAAAAAAGGAGGGGGGGGCCAGAGGTCTCTCTGTGTTGCCCAGGCTGGTCTCAAACTCCTGGGTTCAAGCAGTCCTTCCAACTCGGCCTCCCAAAGTGTTAGCATTACAAGTGTGAACCACTGCCCCCTATCAAATAGACCAAAGGGACCATTTTGATATTTCACTTTACCAAATCAAGGAAATTTACTTCTATTCCTAGTTTCTTTCTTTTTTATTTTATTTATTTATTTATTTATTTTTTGAGACAGCCTTGTTCTGTCGCCCAGGCTGGAGTGCAGTGGCGTGATCTTGGCCCACTGCAACCTCTGCCTCTCAGGTTCCCGAGTTAAAGCAATTCTCCTGCCTCAGACTCCTGAGTAGCTGGGACTACAGGCGCACGCCTCCAGGCCAGGCTAATTTTCTTTCGTATTTTAGTAGAGATGGGGTTTTACCATGTTGCCCAGGCTGGTCTCGAACTCCTGAACTCAGGCAATCCGCCTGCCTCAGCCTCCCAAAATGCTAGGATTATAGGCAAGGGCCACTGTGCCCGGCCTATTCCTAGTTTCTTAAGATTTATTTTTTGTAAAAAAAAAAAAAAAAAAGATTTATTTTTTGTAATAATTTCCAAATCTGGTGAAAGATCAGGGCTGGATAAAGGTTTAGAAATTGAACCTAATCCTTAAACAGTGGGAGGCCCCTGAAAAGTTTTAACTAGGAGTAGAAAAATAGCAGACTTGCATTTTGAATGTTTTGCTGTGGCTGCAGAGAATTGATGAGGGAGGGAGGGTCAAGACCAGTGCCCTGCAGGCTGTGGTGGCTCTCATCTGTAATCCCAGCTCTTTGGAAACTCCACGCAGGAGGATCACTTGAGGCCAGGAGCTAGAGACTAGCCTGGGTGACAGAGCAAGACCCTATCGCTACAAAAAAGTGTGTTTTGTTTTGTTTTGAAACAGTCTCCCTCTGTCGCCCAGGCTGGAGTACAGTGGCACAATCTCAGGTCACTGCACCTCTGCCTCCCTGGTTCAAGTGATTCTCGTGCCTCAGCCTCCTGAGTGGCAGGGATTACAGGCCTGTGCCACCATGGCTGGAGAATTTTTGTATTTTCGGTAGAGACAGAGTTTCACCATGTTGGCCAGGCTGGTCTTGAACTCCTGGGCTCAAGTGATCCACCCGCCTCAGCCTCCTAAAGTGATGGAATTGCAGGCATGAGCCACTATGCCCAGCCCAAAATATTTTTTTAATAAACATTTTAAAATTTTAATAAAAATTTTTAAAGCCTGGAGACCCTTATGGAGATTGTGGCAGTAACTAAGACTTGGATTAAGGAGTGTCCATAAAATATTTAGGCCTTGGTGGCCAGGCGAGGTGGCTCACGTCTGTAATCCCCGCACTTTGGGAGGCCGAGGCGGGCAGATCACCTGAGGTCAGGAGTTCGAGGCCAGCCTGACCAACATGGAGAAACCCCGTCTCTATTAAAAATACAAAATTAGGGCCTAGGGCAGTGGTTCACTCCTATAATCCCAGCACTTTGGGAGGCCAAGGCAGGTGGATCACGAGGTCAGGAGGTCAAGACCAGCCTCACCAACATAGTGAAACCCCGTCTCTACTAAAAATACAAAAATTAGCTGGGCGTGGTGGCCAGCTAATAGTAGTCCCAGCTGCTTGGGAGGCTGAGGCAAGAGAATCGCTTGAACCCAGAAGGCAGAGGTTGCAGTGAGCCGAGATCGCACCACTGCACTCCAGCCTGGGCGACAGAGCAAGACTCTGTCTCAAAAAAAAAAAAAAAAAAAAAGGCGAAATTAGCCGGGCGTGATGGTGCATGCCTGTAATCCCAGCTACTTGGGAGGCCGAAGCAGGAGAATTGCTTGAATCCGGGAAGGGGAGGTTGCTGTGAGCTGAGATTGTGCCATTGCACTCCAGCCTGGGCAACAAGAGTGAAACTCCGTCTCAAAAAAAACAAAAAACGAAAAAACAAAGAATATGTAGGCCTTGGTGATCTATGGGATATAGGAAAGAGCAGGGAGCACCACAGGTGACTCTCCTGACCCGGGTGACTGGGTGCCATTGGTATGACAGACCAAGTCCAAGGAGTGGGTCTCGCTTTGTTGGTTAGGCTGGTCTCAAACTGGTCTCAAGCGATCCTCCCGCCTTGGCCTCCCAGAGTGCTGGGATTACACGCGTGAGCCACTGCACCTGGGCCCTCTTGCTTTTGAGGTTAATGCCATCCAGCTGCAGCACTTGCCACTCCCCTTTGGTGCTGTGACCTGCAGACCCATTCATCATGGACTTTTCCTCCTGCCTCAGAGCCCTTCTCTTCATTCTACTCCAGCCCTCCACCTTGGGGACCTAATTACCCACATGAATGACCCGTCCGGTACCCCTGCCTCTCACCACTTGACTTCCTCTCCTTCCCTTCCCACCAGCTGGCCTCTCCGTGTTCCCGTGGGACAGTCTCGCCACCCAAAATTCCACCACACCCCAGTACTTGGTTTCAAGCCACGCACCCTGACCACCATTCCTTATCCTTCCAGCTTACTGGCTTTAGCGTTCACGCCACACAGCTCTTCCACACCAACAAGACCCCATTCTGTGTACCACTTTTTTTTTTCTTTTCTTTTTAAAACAGAGTCTCGCTCTGTCAACCAGGCTGGAGTGCAGTGGTGCGATCTCGGCTCACTGCAGCCTCCGCCTCCCGGGTTCAAGTGATTCTCCTGCCTCAGCCTCCCGAGTAGCTGGGACTATAGGCGCGTGCCACCATGCCTGGCTCTTTTTTTTTGTATTATTGGTAGAGATGGGGTTTCACCATGTTAGCAAGGATGGTCTCAATCTCCTGACCTCGTGATCTGCCCACCTCGGCCTCCCAAAGTGCTGGGATTAGAGGTATGAGCCACCGCGTCCAGCCCTGTTTACCACTTTTTTACTATCTGTCATTTCCTTCCTGTTCTCCTCTTCCTTCTCTTCTGAGCTTAGAGAGTAGTCCATTACTACAACCCTTCTCTTCATACGCCCTCAACAAACTTGGCTGTTTGTCTCCTTCTCTCACCATTTTAGTGCCTGGCTGATCCTCAAGCCTGAATGAACGCTTGCACACCCAACTGTCTAACTATTGCTTTATTTAACAAACATTTACTGAGCAACTGCTATGAGCTAGACACAATCCTAGGACTCAAGGTCTAGGTGTAAACTACACTGACCAGGTTCCTACCTCATGACAGTAACATCTAATGGGACAGAATAGTCAAAAAGTAAACAACAGCCAGGCGTGGTGGCTCACGCCTATAATCCCAGCAATTTGGAAGGCCGAGGTGAGTGGATCACCTGAGGTCAGGAGTTGGAGACCAACCTGGCCAACATGGAGAAACCCTGTCTCTACTAAAAATATAAAAATCAGCCGAGCATGGTGGCACATGCCTTTAATTCCAGCTACTCGGGAGGCTGAGGCACAAGAATCACTTGAACCCGGGAGGCAGAGCTTGCAGTGAGCTGAGATCAGAGTGAGACTCCATCTCAAAAAAAAAAAGAAGTAAACAACTATTAAGGTCAACATTTGTTCAGGCCTGGTAGCTCACGACTGTAGTACCAACACTTAGGGAGGTCGAGGCAGTCAGATCTCTTGAGCCCAAGATTTCGAGACCAACCTAAGCAACAAGGTGAGGCCGCATCTCTACAGAAAATTTAAAAACTGTCCGGGTGCGGTGGCTCATGCCTATAATCCCAGTACTTTGGGAGGCCGGGGCGGGTGGATAACCTGAGGTCAGGAGTTCGAGACCAGCCTGGCCAACATGGTGAAATCCCGTCTCTACTAAAAATACAAAAATTAGCCAGGCATGGTGGCAGGCACGTGTAATCCCAGCTACTCGGGAGGCTGAGGCAGGAGAATCGCTTGAAACCAGAAGGCAGAGGTTGCAGTGAGCCGATATTGCACCATTGCACTCTAGCCTGGGGGACAAGAGCGAGACTTCGTCTAAAAAAAAAAAATTAAAAAATTAACCAGACATGGCAGAACATGCCTGTAGTCCCAGCTATTCAGGAGGGTTGAGGTGGGAAGATCCCTTGAGCCCAGGAAGTTGAGACTGCAGTGAGCCATGATCACACCACTGCACTCCAGCCTGGACAAAAGAGCAAGACCCTGTTTCCAAAAAAAAAAAAAAAATCAGCATTGGATTATGATAAGTGATAAGATGGAAATGAATAGGGTGTGTGAACAACTGAGGAATAGGGTCTGTTCTAGATAAAATAGGGAAGGCCTTTGAAAAGATTTTAATTAGAATGAGATTACAAACAGGATATGCCATTTGATGATTCTGGGGACGAGCATTCCAGGCAGAGCAAATGGTTACTGCTAAAGCCCAGTGGTAGGAAAGACTCTCAATTGAGAATTATCAGCTGCTACAAAGAAAGACTAGAAAGGGTGGGGTGGGATGCGGTGGCTCAAGCCTGTTATTCCAACACTTTGGGAAGCTGAGGCAGGAGGATTTCTTGAGCCCAGGAGTTTGAGGCCAGTCTGGGCAGCATCGTGAGACCCACCCCACCCTCTCCCCCACGGCCCGCAAGTCCCAGCCGTCTCATTTTTTTAAATAATAAAAAATAAATTTAAAATTTAAAAAAATAATAAAAAGGCCAGAAAGGAGATCAGCATGGATGGGCAGCTCCATTACAGCCTAATGAAAAAGCGGCTGTAAGTGGAGGTGGGAGAGGCAGGCAGGTGTCATCTCAGAGGACCCTGTTGACCACAGTGAAGAGTTCAGAATTTCATTTAGTTGCAATAAATAAAAGCCTTCGGAGGAGAGTGATCTGGATTACTTGTTTTTTCTTTCTTTCTTTCTTTGAGACAGAGTTTCACTCTGGTCGCCCAGGCTGGAGTGCAATGACGTGATCTCGGCTCACTGCAAACTCCGCCTCCTGGATTCAAGTGATTCTCCTGCCTCAGCTTCCTGAGTAGCTAGGATTACAGGTGTGCAAAACCGCACCCTACTAATTTTTGTATTTTTAGTAGAGACGGGGTTTCACCATGTTGGCTAGGTTGGTCTCGAACTTCTGACCTCAGGTGATCCACCCACCTCAGCCTCCCAAAGTGCTGGGATTTTAGGCGTGAGTCCCTGTGCCCCACCAGAGTTACTTTTTTTTTCTTTTCTTTTTTTTTGAGATGGAGTCTTGCTCTGTCGCCAAGGCAGGAGTGCAGTGGTCACTGCAAGCTCCACCTTCCGGGTTCATGCCATTCTCCTGCCTCAGCCTCCCAAGTAGCTGGGACTACAGGTGCACGCCACCACGCCCGGCTAATTTTTTTTTTTTTTTTTTTTTGTATTTTTAGTAGAGACGGGGTATCACCGTGTTAGCCAAGGTGGTCTTGATCTCCTGACTCTTGATCCTCCCAAAGTGCTGGGATTACAGGTGTGAGCCACTGTGCCTGGCCGTTTTTTTTTTTTTTTTTAGACGAAGTCTTGCTCTGTTGCCATGCCAGAATGCAGTGGCACTGACTGCAACCTCCACCTCTTGGGTTCAAGTTATTGTCCTGCCTTAGCCTCCCAAGTAGCTGGGATTACAGGCACCCACCACCACGCCCAGCTAATTTTTGTGTTTTTAGTAGAGACGGGGTTTCATCATGTTGGCCAGGATGGTCTCAATCTCCTGACCTTGTAATCCTCCCGCCTCAGCCTCCCAAAGTACTGGGAATACAGGCGTGAGCCACCGTGCCTGGCCACCAGATTTACATTTTTTAAATCTCATTTTGTAATTTATTGAAAAGAGGGCTGGGTGTAGTGGCTCACGCCTGTAATCTCAGCACTTTGGGAGGCTGTAGTGGGAGGAGCGCTTGAGCCCAGGAATTCTAGACCAGCCTGGGCAACATGGTGAGACCCCGTCTCTTAAAAAAATGGAAAGAAAAAAAGAGGGAAAAAAATAAAAGAGAAAACATTGCTAGAAGACAAGTTAGAAGTCTATCACAGAAGATAAGGCAAAGTTCCTGATGGTTTGAACCAGAATAGGAGCAAGGATGATAAAATTTGTCAGGAGAGTGGAATGGGAAAGGATTTGAAATACAGTTTTAAATTTAAATGGAAAGGTCTTGCTAATAAATGTGGGTGGGGGGAAGGGGAAGAATCAAGGATGATTCCTGGGTTTATGACTTCTGGAATAACTGGTTTGATTTCAAAATGGGGAAGAGTATAGGGTTTGGAGTGATACCAAGTCATCTATTTTGGATGAGTTATGTTTTGTTTGTTTATTAGACATCCAATCAGAGGTGTCACATTAGCATATGCTAATAAGACAAGCTCAGCAAAGAGACCAAAGCTACAGACATAAATTTGTAGAGGTCAGTGTTAGGTTTCCTGGGGAGAATGTGTAATGATGTTTAAAAACAAAACAAAAAAGCAGCCCGGGCAACATAGTGACATAGTGAGACTCCCTCTCTACAAAAAAATGAAAACAATTTACCTAGGCATGGTGGCGCATGCCTGTAGTCCTAGCTACTCAGGAGACTAAGGCAGGAGGATGGCTTGAGCCCAGGAGTTTAAGGCTACAGTGAGCTATGATAGCACCACCACACTCCAGCCTGAGTGACACAGTAAGACAATATCTGTAAAAAAAAAAAAAAAAATTAAAAATAGGCCGGGTGCTGTCGCTCACACCTGTAATCCCAGCACCTTGGGAGGCTGAGGCAGGTGGATCACCTGAGATCAGGAGTTCGAGACAGGCCTGGCAAGCATGGTGAAACCCCTTCTCTACTGAAAATACAAAATTAGCCAGGTGTGGTGGCAGGCGTCTGTACTCCCAGCTACTCGGGAGGCTGAGGTGAGAGAATCACTTGAACCTGGGAGGTGGAGGGTGCAGTGAGCCAAGATCGCACCATTGCACTCCAGCCTGGGTGACAGAGTGAGACTCCATCTCAAAAAAAATAAAAATAATAAAAAATAAAAAATAGGCCTGGCGCTGTGGCTCATGCCTGTAATCCCAGCACTTTGGGAGGCTGAGGTGGGCGGATCACTTGAGGTCAGGAGTTCGAGCCCAGCCTGGCCAACATGGTGAAACCCCTTCTCTACTAAAAATATAAAAATTAGCCAGGCGTGTTGGCGCGTGCCTGTAATCCCAGCAACTCAGGAGGCTGAGGCAGGAGAATCGCTGGAACCCGGGAGGCGGAGGTTGCAGTGAGCTGAGATCGCGCCATTGCACTCAAGCCTGGGCAACAGAGTGAGACTATGTCTCCAAAAAATAAAGAAATAAATAAAAATAAAATAAAAAATAACAATAAAAAGGCCTAAAAATGAGCCCTGAAGCACCCCAAGATTTAGAGGTCAGATGGAGAAGGAGCCAGCAATGGAGGCTGAGAAAGAAAAGACAAAAGAGGAGAGAAACTTGGTGTGGTTTCGCAAAAGCCAAGATGAGAAAATGTTCCCAGAAAGAAGGAATGATCAACAACTCCATGCTGCTGAGAAGTAGAGAAAGACGAAGGCTGAGAGGTGTGCTTTGAATTCTGAAACCGGGAAGTTGCTGCTGACCCTGATGGAGGATGTTGATGGAGCAGTGTTGAGGGCTGTCAGAGCAGCGTGGGCTGAAGGTTGAGTAGAGGGCAAGGAGGTGGAGGTTTCAATGCTGGGAGTTTATTTGAGGTTTGTGGTCATGAACTGAAAGTGCAACCTGTAGGTCCAGTTGAGGTTTTTCTTATTTTTTTTTCCAGTAATGTTCAGTTGCTCAGGTGCAGTTATGACTTGTAGTTGGGTTCATTCAGGCTTGAGGATCAGCCAGGCAAGTAAAACGGAGAGAGAGGGAGACAAACAGCTGAGTTGGTTGAGGGTGTATGCAGAGAAGGGTTGTAGTAATGGACTATTCTCTAAGCTTGGAAGAGAAGGAAGACAAAACAGAAGGGAAATGACGGATAGTGAAAAATGGTACACAGAACGGGGTCCTGTTGAGGTGGAAGAGTTGCATGGTGTGAACACTAAATCAAGTAAGCTGGAAGGATAAGAAATGGTGGTCAGGGTGGGTGGCTGGAAACTGAGAATCAGGGGGTGGTGCAGTTTTGGGTGACAAGACTGTCTCATGTGAACATAGGCCAGCTGGTGGGAAGGGGAGAAGAGGAAGTCAAGTGGTGACAGGCAGGGGTACTGGATGGGTCATCCACGTGGGTAATTAGGTCCCCAAGGAGAAGGGCTGGAGTAGAAGGAAGAGAAGGGCTGTGAGGCAGGAACCAAAGTTCGTGATGAGGGGGTCTGCCGGTCACAGCACCAAAGGGGAGTAACAAGTGCTGCAGCTGGATGGCATTAACCTCAAACGAGCTAGGGGCTGGCCGGGCGTGGTAGGTCACACCTGTAATCCCCAAAATTTGGGAGGCCAAGAATGGGCAGATCGCTTGAGGCCAGAAGTTCGACCAGCCTGGCCAACGTGGTGAAACCCCGTCTCTACTGAAAATACAAACATTAGCCTGGCATGGTGGCACACCTGTAGTTCCAGCTACTCAGGAGGCTGAGGCAGGAGAATCACTTGAAACCGGGAGGCAGAGGTTGCAGTGAGCTGAAATTGCACCAGCCTGGGCAACAGAGTGAGACTCTGTCTCAAAAAAAATAAAATAAAAAAGAAACAGGTTCTCAAACTCCTGGCCTCAAGCCACCTTTTCCCTCTCAGCCTCCCAGAGTGTTGGGTTTACACTTGTGAGCCACTGCACCTGGGCCCTTGCTTTTTTGTTTGTTTGTTTCTGTTTTTTGAGATGGAGTCTTGCTCTGTCGCCCAGGCTGGAGTGTAGTGGCACGATCTCGGCTCACTGCAACCTCCGCCTCCTGAGTTCAAGGGATTCTCCTGCCTCAGCCTCCCAAATAGCTGGGATTACAGATGTGTGCCACCACGCCCAGCTAATTTTCGTATTTTAATAAAGTTGGGGTTTCACCACGTTGCCCAGGCTGCTCTCAAACTCCTGACCTCAGGTAATCTGCCTGCCTCGGCCTCCCAAAGTGCTGGGATTACAGGCGTGAGCCACTGCGCCCAGCCTTTATTTTTATGTATTTATTTTTTTGAGACGGAGTCTTGCTCTGTCACCCAGGCTGGAGTACCGTGGCATGATCTCTGCTCACTGCAGCCTCTGCCTCCCGGGTTCCAGCGAGTCTCCTGCCTCAGCCTCCCGAGTACCTGGGATTACAGGCACACACCACCATGCCCAGCTAATTTTTGTATTTTTAGTAGAGATGGGGGTTTCACCAGGTTGGCCAGGCTGGTCTCGAACACCTGACCCCAGGTGATCCGCACGCCTCGGCCTCCCAAAGTGCTGGGATTACAGGCGTGAGCCACCATGCCCGGACCTTTTTTTTTTTTTTTTTTTGAGACTGAGTCTCACTCTGTCACTGAGGCTGGAGTGGTGCAGTGCCGTGATCTTGGCTCACTGTCTGCCTCCTGGGTTCAACCGATTCTCCTGCCTCAGCCTCCCGAGTAGCTGGGATTACAGATGCCCACCACGACGCATGGCTAATGTTTGTATTTTCAGTAGAGACGGGGTTTCACCACGTTGGCCAGGCTGGTCGAACTTCTGGCCTCAAGTGATCTGCCCATTCTTGGCCTCCCAAATTTTGGGGATTACAGGTGTGACCTACCACGCCCGGCCAGCCCCTAGCTCGTTTGAGGTTAATGCCATCCAGCTGCAGCACTTGTTACTCCCCTTTGGTGCTGTGACCGGCAGACCCGCTCATCACGAACTTTGGTTCCTGCCTCACAGCCCTTCTCTTCCTTCTACTCCAGCCCTTCTCCTTGGGGACCTAATTACCCACGTGGATGACCCATCCAGTACCCCTGCCTGTCACCACTTGACTTCTTCTCCTCCCCTTCCCACCAGCTGGCCTATGTTCACATGAGACAGTCTTGTCACCCAAAACCACACCACACCCCAAATTCTCGGTTTCCAGCCACCCATCCTGACCATCATTTTTTTTTTTTTTTTTTTTGAGACATAGTCTTCCTCTATTGCCCAGGCTGGAGTGCAGTGGTGCAGTGGCCTGATCTCGGCTCACCAGAACCTCTGCCTCCCGGGTTCAAGCTATTCTCCTGCCTCAGCCTCCCAAGTAGCTGGAACTACAGGCATGTGCCACCACGCCTGGCTAATTTTTATATTGTTAGTAGAGATGGAGTTTCGCCATGTTGGCCAGGCTGGTCTCAAACTCCTGACCTTGTGATCCACCCACCTTGGCCTCCCAAAGTGCTGGGATTATAGGTGTGAGCCACCATACCATACCCGGTTGAAACCGTGTTTCTTTTTTCTTTCTTTCTTTCTTTTTTTTTTTTTTTGAGAAGGAGTCTCACTTAGTTGCTCAGGCTGGAGTGCAATGGCAGGATCTCGGCTCACTGCAACCTCCGCCTCCCAGGTTCTAGTGATTCTCCTGCCTCAGCCTCCTGAGTAGCTGGGGCTACAGGCGCCCGCCACCACGGCCGGCTAATTTTTTGTATTTTTAGTAGAGACAGGGTTTCACCGTGTTAGCCAGGCTGGTCTCGAATTCCTGACCTCGAGTGATCGCCTGCCTCGGCCTCCCACAGTGCTGGGATTATAGGTGTGAGGCACCGCGCCTGACCCCATTTTGGCTTAAATGTCTGCCCTTCACAATCTAGTCTCTAGGGATGCTCTAGCCTCATCCTGACACACTCTACTTCTGACACACTACACTTCTTTCCTTCCTCCAAAAGGTCTTTCCATTTGGTGTTACAATAGCTTAAAACACTCTTTTCTGGGCCAGGCGTGCTGGCTCACGCCTATAATCCCAGCACTTTGGGAGGACGAGACGGGGGCGGGGGATCATGAGGTCAAGAGTTGGAGACCATACTGGCCAACATAGTGAAACCCCGTCTCTACTAAAAATACAAAAATTAGCCAGGCGTGGTGGTGCACGCCTGCTACTCGGGAGGCTGAGGCAGGAGAATCGCTTGAACCCAGGAGGCGGAGGTTGCAGTGAGCTGAGATCGCGCCATTGCACTCCAGCCTGGCAACAGAGCGAGACTCCGTCTCAAAAACAAACAAATAAACAAGCAAATAGCACTCATTTCTGCTAGATGTATGTGGTTAATACCTACAAATCCATCTTTCAGATCCTTGAAAGAAGCAACTTCCTCCAGAATACCTCTGGCAATCTCTAAACTAATCTTATCTTCCCTGTTTCCTACTTCCAGCTTGTATTACATCTCTTATCCTAGCATTTGTCATGCAGGATTGCAGTTGATTATTTTTCTTTTCTGTGTATAAGCTTGTGATGGCAGGACTGTCTTTCATGTCTTTGTTCGCAGAGTTTAATATAATGATGCTATACAGTAGCACCTAACAAATATCTCCTGAATGAACTCATGAATCCTATAAAATCAATAACAGGGTAATTCTCCCAGATAAGTATAGGACTCTGCTTATTTAATTTGGGTATTTGGATTTGTGTACCTGGCAGAGGGTGGTACCAAATAGCGTGCCTCATGTTCTTTTTTTTTTTTAATCTAAAGTAAAGTTAGTAAAGTTAACAGAGTCTTATTCTGTGTTCTTGACACCACAGAATAAGCCTCTATTAACTTTACTAACTTTTTGTAGATTAAAAATAATAATAATAATAATAATAATTAAAGGAAAATAGGCCAGGTGTGGTGGCTCACACCCGTAATCCGAGCACTTTGGGAGGCCGAGGCAGGTAGATTGCCCAAGCTCAGGACTTGGAGACCAGCCCAGCCAACATAGTGAAACTCCGTCTCTACTACAAATACAAAAAATTAGCTGGGCGTGGTGGCGGGCGCCTGTAATCCCAGCTACTCGGGAGGCTGAGGCAGGAGAATTGCTTGAACCCGGGAGCCAGAATCTGTGTCAAAAATGAACAAAAAAAGGACATCTCAGGCGCGCTCATGTGACTAGTGGTTATGGTGCTGAACAGTACAGGTTTAGAGCTTCCTAGCCTAATTGTCTTGCTGGCTCAGACATTCTTTTTTTTTTTTTTTTGAGACAGTCTTGCTCTGCCGTCCGGGCGGGAGTGCAGTGGTGCGATCTTGGCTCAGGGCAACCTCTGACTCTTGGGTCAAGTGATTCTCCTGCCTCAGCCTCCCGAGTAGCTGGGACTACAGGTGCATGCCAGCACGCCCTGCTAGTTTTGGTATTTTTATTTTTATTTTTTATTTTTTATTTTTTTTGAGATGGAGTCTCGCCCTGTTGCCCAGGCTGGAGTGCAGTGGCGCAATCTCGGCTCACTGCAAGCTCCGCCTCCCGGGTTCACACCATTCTCCTGCCTCAGCCTCCCGAGTAGCTGGGACTACAGGAGCCCACCACCATGCCCAGCTAATTTTTTGTATTTTTAGTAGATACGGGGTTTCACCATGTTAGCGAGGATGGTCTTGATCTCCTGACCTTGTGATCTGCCCGCCTCGCCCTCTGAAAGTGCTGGGATTACAGGCATGAGCCACAGCGCCCGGCCCATAATTTTTGTATTTTTAGTAGAGACGGGGTTTCACCATATTGGTAAGGCTGGTCTCAAACTCCTGACCTCAGTTGATCCACCCGCCTCAGCCTCCCAAAGTGCTAGGATTCCAGGCGTGAGCCACTGCACCTGGCCTTTTTTTTTTTTTTTTTTTTTTTTGAGATGGAGTTTCGCTCTTGTTGCCCAGGCTGGAGTGCAATGGCATGATGTGGGCTCACTGCAACGTCTGCCTCCCGGGTTCAAATGATTCTCCTGCTTCAGCCTCCCGAGTAGCTGGGAATAAAAGGATGTGCCACCATGCCTGGCTAATTTTTTTATTTTTAGTAGGTGGGGGGGTTTCAACATGTTGGCCAGGCTGGTCTCAAACTCCTGACATCAGGTGATCCACCTACCTTGGCCTCCCAAAGTGCTGGGATTACAGGAGTGAGCCACTGTGCCCAGCTGCCTGGCTAATTTTTGTATTTTTAGTAGAGACAGGGTTTCAGCATATTGGGCAGGCTGGTCTCAGAATTCCTGACCTCATGATCTGCCTGCCTCGGCCTCCCATGGTGCTGGGATTACAGGCATGAGACACTGCGCCTGGCCTTCCTTTATGCTTTTTTTTCTTTTTGAGACAGATCCTAGCTCTGTCACCCAGGCTGGAGTGCAGTGGCTCAATCCTGGCTCACTGCAACCTCTGCCTTCCGGGTTCTAGCGATTCACCTGCCTCAGCCTCCCGAGTAGCTGGGATTACAGGTGCCCCCCCACCACGCCCATCTAATTTTTGTATTTTTAGTAGAGACAGGGTTTCACTGTGTTGGCCAGGCTGGTCTTGAACTGCTGACCTCGTGAACCACCCACCTCGGCCTCCCAAAGTGCTGGAATTACAAGCGTGAGCCACTATGCCCGGCCATACTTTTCCAATTGAAAAAAAAAAGGCTGGGCATGGTGGCTCATGACTGTAATCCCAGCACTTTGGGAGGCCGAGGCAGGTGGTTCACGAGGTCAGGAGATCGAGACCATCCTGGCTAACACAGTGAAACCCTGTCTCTACTAAAAAATACAAAAAAAATTAGCCAGGCATGGTGGCGGGCGCCTGTAATCCCAGCTACTCAGCAGGCTGAGGCAGGAGAATGGCGTGACCCCAGGAGGCGGAGCTTGCAGTGAGCCAAGATCCTGCCACTGCACTCCAGCCTGGGCAACAGAGCGGGAGAGCGAGACTCTGTCTCAAAAAAAAAAATTTTTTTTTTTGATCTCGCTATGTTGCCCAGCTTGGTCTTGAACTGCTGAGCTGAAGTGATCCTCCCACCTTGCCCTCCCAAAGTGCTAGGATTACAGGCATGAGCCACTGCACCCAGCCTTTTTATGACTTTTTCATCATCAGAAACAGCTCCAAGGAAGCAGATGTAGCTCTTTAGAGTGGCCAGGGTGACAACAGTTCCTGGCGTGCTATGGGTGACACGGGCAGGAAACACAACTTCTGCTTAAAAGACAGCCTCAGTGAGCAGGTGACTGAAGACAAGGCTCATAAGGGGCTTGGGATCCGTGACCCTGAAAGGCGGGAGGGTGATTAAAAGCAATCACATGTGGTGGGCGCCTGTAGTCCCAGCTACTCAGGAGGCTGAGGCAGGAGAATTGCTTGAACCCGGGAGGTAGAGATTGCGGTGAGCGGAGATCATGCCATTGCACTCTAGCCTGGGCAACAAGAGCAAAACTCCGTCTCAAAAAAAAGCAGTCACAATGTGGGAATGGCATCCCCCAGCCTGGGACTGCCCTGAGCCTGTGGCTCAGGACATCAGCATTTGATGCCACTCTTCCAGGTTCATAGACATGCTGTGAGCAGAAAAGTCCAGACTCTTGGTGTCGGCCCAGACTGCAGAAGCCAAAGAGTGGTGGTGCCCTTTCTGGCTGCTGTGATGACAGCCAAGGTTTCCTCCTCCTCTTCGCACAGTGGGTAGGTCCCTGCTGGGGCTAACAGGTTTCTGGATTTTTATTGATTGCCCAGCACTGGCTGGTGAGAAACAGTACCTGTGCTGAAATTGCCAATTTACCAGTCTCCTTTCCCCAAATGGCAGTGCTGAGACTAAAGGCTGGCTCTGAAATATTGACAGCCTCACTTCCTGCCTGCCAATTCAGTTTTGTCATGTAATAAAAAGGGAATACAACCTCACAGGATTACTGTGAAGATTAAATGAGAAAATGCAGACAAAGGCTCAGCAGAATACTTGGCATGCCGTAGTTGCTCAGAAATTCCCTTCTTGCTTTGTCCTTCAAGGCTTAACATAAATATTGTCTTTTTTTTTTTTTTTTTTTTTGGAGACACGATCTCACTCTGTGATCTAGGCTGTAGTACAGTGGTACCATCATAGCTCACTGCAGCCTTGACCTCCTGGGCTCAAACGATCCTCCCACCTCAGCCTCTGGAATAGCTGGGACTACAGGCATTCGCCACCACACCTGGCTGATTTTTAGATTTTTTTTGTAGAGCCAGGGATCTCACTATGCTGCCCAGGCTGATCTTGAACTCCTGGCCTCAAGTGATCCTTCAGCCTCAGTCTCCCAAGTCTTTGGGATTATAGGCATGAACAGTGGTTCATGACATGGCCTCACAAATATCATCTGACACATTAAATTCCTTTAACACCTCACCTCACCTAGACCCCAAATCAGCCCTTTTCGGGAATCCCAAGACCTTTTGCCCATTCTTTTGTTTTTTTGTTTTGTTCTTTTGTTTTTGTTTTCGCTCTTGTTACCCAGGCAGGAGTGCAATGGTGCGATCTCCGGTTCACTGCAACCTCCGCCACCTGGGTTCAAGCAGTTCTCCTGCCTCAGCCTCCCGAGCAGCTAGGATTACAGGCCACCATACCCAGCTAATTTTGTATTTTTAGTAGAGACGGGGTTTCTCCATGTTGGTCAGGGTGGTCTCGAACACCCAACCTCAGGTGATCCACCCACCTCGGCCTCCCAAAGTGCTGGGATTACAGGTGTGAGCCATCGTGCCCAGCCGTGAGCCACAGAGCCCGGCGGTTTTTTGTTTGTTTGTTTGTTTTGAGAGGTAGTATCACTCTGTCACCCAGGATGGAGTGCAGTGGTGAGATCTCGGTTCACTGCCACTCCCACCTCCCGGGTTCAAGCAATTCTCCTGCCTCAGCCTGCTGAGTAGCTGGGACTACAGGCGTGTGCCACCATGCCTGGCTAATTTTTGTATTTTTAGTAGAGATGGGGTTTCACCATGTTGGCCAGGCTGGTCTCGAACTCCTGAACTCAGGTGATCCACCCGCCTTAGCTTCCCAGAGTGCTGGGATTACAAGCGTGAGCCACCACACCCACCCTTGCCCATTCTTTACAGGGGCCCATGCAGATACACAGGGATAAAGGAACCCACAGTGTGATGAGTATGAAGAGGCTGTGAGCTGATTCCTTAATGGTTCAAAATCCTGGGAGCTGAATTTAACATTTCTTTCTTTCTTTTTTTTTTTTTTTTTTTGAGACAGAGTCTCGCTCTTGTTGCCCAGGCTGGAGTGCAATGGCACCATCTCAGCTCACCGCAACCTCCGCCTCCCAGGTTCAAGCCATTCTCCTGCCTTAGCCTCCCAAGTAGCTGGGATTACAGGTGCTAGCCATCATGCCCAGCTAATTTTTTGTATTTTTAGTAAAGACAGGGTTTCACCATGTTGCCCAGGCTGGTCTTGAACTCTTGACCTAAAGTGATCTGCCTGCCTCGGCCTCCCAAAGTGTTAGGATTACAGGTGTGAGCCACCACACCTGGCCAAACTTAACATTTCTAAGCAACAGATCATTTTTTTTTTTTCTTTTTTCTTTTTTTTTTTTTGAGATGGAGTCTAGCTCTGTCACCCAGGCTGGAGAGCAGTGGCCCGATCTTGGCTCACTGCAAGCTCTGCCTCTCGGGTTCACACCATTCTCCTGCCTGAGCCTCCTGAGTAGCTGGGACCACAGGCGCTCACCACCACGCCTGGCTAATTTTTTGTATTTTTAGTAGAAATGGGGTTTCACCGTGGTAGCCAGGATGGTCTTGATCGCCTGACTTCATGATCCGCCCACCTCTGCCTCCCAAGCAGATGGGATGACAGGTGCATGCCACCACACCCGGCTAGTTTTTGTATTTTTTGTAGAAATAGGGCTTCACCATGTTGCTCACGTTGGTCTTGAACTCCTGGGCTCAAGTGCCTTGACCTCCCAAAGTGCTAGGATTACAGGTGTGAAATAATTCCTTAATATCATCAAATATTCAGTGTTCAAATATTCCCACTGTCTCATCATCATCATCATCATTCTATTTATAGTTTGTTTGAATCATGACCTGAAAAAGATCCATAGGCCAGGTGCAGTGGCTCATGCCTGTAATCCCAGAACTTTGGGTGGCCGAGGCGGGCGGATCACCTGAGGTCGGGAGTTCGAGACCAGCCTGACCAACATGGAGAAACCCCATCTCTACTAAAAATACAAAATTAGCCGGGCGTGGTGGCGGATGCCTGTAATCCCAGCTACTTGGGAAGCTGAGGCAAGAGAATCTCTTGAACCCAGGAGGCAGAGGTTGCAGTGAGCCGAGATCGTGCCATTTCACTCCAGCCTGGGCAACAAGAGCGAAACTCCATTTCAAAAAATAAAAAATAAAAAAGATCCATAAGTTTTGGTTGGTTAATGTGTCTCTTAAGTTTCCTTTAATCACTAGGTTCCCTCTTCTAAAATCTTTCTGTTTTCCTTGCAATTTATTAAAGAATATTTGTCATGTGTTCCTATACAGTTTCCTAAAATCTGGATTTAAGGCCGGGTGCGCTGGCTCATTCCTGTAATCCCAGCACTTTGGGAGGCCGAGGTGGGCGGATCACCCGAGGTCAGGGGTTCCAGACCAGCCTGGCTAACATGGTGAAACCCCATCTCTACTAAAAATACAAAAAATTAGCCAGGCTTGGTGGTGGATGCCTGTAATCCCAGCTACTTGGGAGGCTGAGGCAAGAGAATCATTTGAACCCGGGAGGCGGAGGTTGCAGTGAGCCGAGATGGCGCCACTGCACTCTAGTCTGGGCAATGAGTGAAACTCCATCTCAGAAAACAAACAAACAAATAGAAAAAAACAAATAAAATCTGGGTTTTACTGATTGTGTCCTCATGGTATCATTTAACATTCTTATTTTCTTTATTTCGTGTAAAGCAGTAGTCGGATCTAGCAGCTTGATCACCTTTGGGGTTGATTTTGTTCCTAGACTCTTTCATATGCAGTATTGGGTACTTCCATTAAGAGGTACATCATTCTGATTTTTCTTTGTTTCCTAGTTTTTCTTTCTTTTTTTGTTTTCTCTGTTTTGTTTTGAGACAGGGTCTCACTCTGTTACTCAGGCTGGAGTGCTGTGGCAGGAACATAGTTCACTGCAGCCTCGACCCCCCGGGGTTCAAGCAATTCTCTAGCCTCAGTCCCCCAAGTAGCTGGGACTATAGGCACTTGCCACCACACCTGGCTAAATGTTGTCTTTTTTGTAGAGATGGAGTTCTCCATGTTGCCCAGGCTGGGATAGTCTCTAATAGGGTTTATAGTGGACCTTTTTAATATTATCATCACCCAGCATCTTTTTTTTTTTTTTTTTTTTGAGACAGTTTCTGTCTGTTGCCCAGGCTGGTGTGCAGTAGTCCGATCTCGGCTCACTGCAACCTCCGCCTCCTGGGTTCAAGGGATTCTCTTGCCTCAGCCTCCCGAGTAACTGGGATTACAGGTGTGTGCCACCACGCCCAGCTAATTTTTGTATTTTTAGTAGAGATGGGTTTTCACCACATTGGCCAGGCTGGTCTCAAACTCCTGGCCTCAAGTGATCAGCCCGCCTCTGCCTCCCAAAGTGCTGGGATTACAGGTGTGAGACACCGCGCCTGGCCATTCAGAATCTTTTTGAAAACCCATTCTATGTCAAGACATGATGAGTTCTGCCTCCCCAAGGTAGAAGCTAGACTCCTGTACCTAGCTTCCCTAGCACTCAGGCATACAGTGTAGGCTCATCCAATCAGATGCAGCTGATATCCATTCAGAGGTGAGCTGTACGAGGATGAGAATGCTGTAGAGACACGGAGATTTTTTTGTTTGTTTATTTTGTTTGTTTTCAGACAGAGTCTCTATCACCCAGGCTAGAGTGCAGTGGCACGATCTCGGCTCACTGCAACCTCCGCCTCCTGGGTCCATGCGATTCTCCTACCTCAGCCTCCCAAGTAGCTGGGACTACAGGTGCCCACCAGCACGCCTGGCTAATTTTTTGTATTTTTAGTAGAGACGGAGTTTCACTGTGTTAGGCAGGACGGTCTGAATTTCCTGATCTTGTGATCCACCTGCCTCGGCCTCCCAAAGTGCTGGGATTACCGGCGTGAGGCACCGTGCCTGGCTGACACAGAGCTTTTGAGGGCAGTGGGAGTGGAGGCCCCAGGAGTAGAGATACTCCTTCCACTTTTGAGCTGCAGTGGCTATTGATGGCAAAAAGCAGAGGCTGTGCTGATAACAGTCCAGGAGCAAAATTTGGGTATTGTTCCTGGCCAAGTAGCCTCCAAGCCCAATTCTCTATCCCTCTCAGAGACTGTGTGAGTCATTTATATCTTTAAATACATTCCTTGGCTGCTTAAACTAGTTAGAGTAGATTCTGTTGTTGTAGCTAAGTTCCGTGACAATTATGAGGCTTCCATGATGTAGCTCAATATAGCGTCTGGTACTAGGAGGGGAGCAGTCAAACTGTACCTGTAGCCTCTGGTTTTCCAGGTAGATGAGATAGTACATTTTATTATTGTTTGTTTCACTTCAAGTTGGGTTTTCTTTTCTTTGTTCTTAAAAGCATCCACGGGCAGGCGCAGCAGCTCATGCCTGTAATCCCAGAACTTTGAGAGGCCGAGGCTGGTGGGTCACTTGAGGTCAGGAGTTTGAGACCAGCCTGGCCCACATGGTGAAACCTCGTCCCTACCAAAAAATACAAAAATTAGCAGGGTGTGGTGGCGAGTGCCTGTAATCCCAGCTACTCGGGAGGCTGAGGCAGGAGAATTGCTTGAACCCAGGAGGCAGAGGTTGCAGTGAGCCATCATGCCACTGCACTCCAGCCTGGGCAACAGAGCAAGACTCCATCTCAAAAAAAAAAAAAAAAAAAAAAAAAAGCATCCAGTTGATTTCCACAAGCAACTTCAGTGTCTGGCTGCATTTAGGGTATGCTCAACACGTGTTCCTTCATAACCACCTTTTAAAATGACCTGATAATTGACATACAACTTACGAGTTTTGACATATGTAAGCACTCACGAAAACATCACTCAATTAAGATAATAAACCTCTCCATCACACCTAAAAGTTTCTTTGTGCCTTGCTGTAATCTTTCTCTCTTTCCTTTCACTCCAGCCACTTTCTGATCCCCGTTCTGTCACTTTCTAGAATTTTTTGTAAATGAAAGCAAACATATGTACTCTCTTTGGTCTTCTTTCACTCAGCATAATTATTGTACTTATTTATTTATTTTTATTTCATTTATTTATTTTTTTTTGAGATGGAGTCTCGCTCTGTCGCCAGGCTGGAGTGCAGTGGTGCAATCTTGGCTCACTGCAACCTCTGCCTCCCGGGTTCAAGCGATTCTCCTGCCTCAGCCTCCCGAGTAGCTGGGACTACAGGCACCCGCCATCACACCCGGCTAATTTTTGTATTTTTAGTAGAGATGGGGGTTTCACTATGTTGGCCAGGCTGGTCTCAAACTCCTGACCTCATGATCCACCCACCTTGGCCTCCCAAAGTGCTGGGATTACAGGCGTGAGCCATTGTGCCTGGCCATTTATTTATTTTTAATTAATTAATTTATTATTATTATTATTATTGAGACAGAGTCTTGCTGTCTCCCAGGCTGGAGTATAGTGGTAAAATCATGGCTCACTGCAGCCTCACATTCCTGGGTTCAAGCAATCCTCCTGCTTTAGCCTCCCAGGTAGCTGGGACTACCAGCACATACCACCACTCCTGGCTAATTTTGAAATGTTTTGTAGAGACAGGGGTCTGACTACGTTGCCCAAGCTGGCATAATTATTTTAAGATTCATTCCAGTTGTTGCAACACACTGGGTTTGCCCTTTTGCCCTTTATCTTTTTTTTTTTTTTTTTTTTTGAGACAGAGTCTCTCTGTTGCCCAGGCTGGAGCACAATGGCACGATCTTAGCTCACTGCAACCTCCGCCTCCTGGGTTCAAGCAATTCTCCTGCCTCAGCCTCCACAGTAGCTGGGATTACAGGTGCCCACCACTATGCCCGGCTAATTTTTGTATTTTTAGTAGAGACAGGGTTTCACCGTGTCGGCCAGGCTGGTCTCGAACTCCTGACCTTAAGGGATCCGCCTGCCTCAGTCTCCCAAAGTGCAGAGATTACAGGTGTGAGCCACCGTGCCGGGCCGCAGCTGCTTCTTAAAGCCTGTCACTAGAGGCTGGGCGCAGTGGCTCATGTCTGCAATCCCAGTACTTTGGGAGGCTGAGGCGGGCGGATCACAAGGTCAGGAGATTGAGACCATCCTGGCTAACACAGTGAAACCCCGTCTCTACTAAAAATACAAAAACAAAATTAGCTGGGCATGGTGGCGCATGCCTGTAATCCCAGCTACTCAGGAGGCTGAGGCAGGAGAATTGCTTGAACCTGGAGGTGGAGGTTGCAGTGAGCTGAGATCACGCCACTGCACTCCAGCCTGGCGAAAGAGTGAGACTCTATCTGAAAAAAAAAAAAGCCTGTCACTGACGAGCTGCATTGGAACCACCTGGAGACACCTGTTAATACGTAGCTGTCTGGGCCCAAGCCCCTCTTCTTGCAGATGAGGCCCCAAGAAGGGGAGTGACTTCTTCAGGGAGCCAGGGCTAATTTAGGACAGGAACTCAAGTCCTGATTCCAAACTTAGGACGAAAAGAAGGGGGAATGAGGAGCAGGAAATGTGTCCAGTTTTGACTCCTCTGATTCCCGTGTATTTTTCCTTTGGCTTCTAATATTAAGAGAAAGGCCCAGTACTATATTAAGAGGAAGACCCAGTACTTTGGAACAAGGTGGCTTCCTGCTGAGGCTGGGTCTTGTGTGTACTCTGAGGCCTCAGATTGCTGTGGCCGGGCATCTCGGGTCTCCCAGCCACCTGCATAGACCTGGCTCAGGAAAGGAGCTGGGTAGGATCCCAGCTTTAGCATGAGGCAAGAGCTACCTCCTTTGAATGGGCAAAAGAAGGCGGGGAGGAGAGTCCAGGCAGACAGGTAAACTATGCAGAGCCTGATAGAGTAAGGAGGAAGCCAGGGATAGGCCAGGCTTCAGCTCCGCCCCTGGGCCAGACTAGGGCCTCAGTGGGCAGAGGCAGGAGAAGCTGCCAAGGCCTGGGGAGCCGACCCTCCACAGAAGCTAGCAGGGCCCCGTCAGGATCCACCAGCCCAGGCAGATGCAGCTTTGCCTATGGGCTCCTGCTCGGTGCCAGAGAAATGACCCTGTCCCTCGGGTGATGGGCACTGCATCCTGGTTTCAACAATGTCATTTTATATTATCCCCCCTGCATGCCATCAAATATTTTCTTTTTTTTTTTTTTAGATGGAATCTTGCTCTGTTGCCAGGCTGGAGTGCCGTGGCTCAATCTCTGCTCACTGCAACCTCTGCCTCCCGGGTTCAACAATTCTGCCTCAGCCTCCCAAGTAGCTGGGATTACAGGCGCACACTGCCACGCCCAGCTAGTTTTTTTTATTTTAGTGGAAACGGGGTTTCACCGTGTTGCCCAGCCTGGTCTGAACTCCTGAGCTCAGGCAATCTGCCTGCCTCGGCCTCCCAAAGTGCTAGGATTACAGGTGTGAGCCACCGCACCCGGCTTTTTTTTTTTTTTTTTTTTGCAGGTGGAGTCTGGATGTGTCGCCTAGGCTAGAGTGCAGTGGCGCAATCTCGGCTCACTGCAACCTCCACCTCCTGAGTTCAAGTGATTCTCCTGCCTCAGCCTCTTGAGTGGCACTGGGATTACAAGCGTGCCACCATACCCGAATAATTTTTGTATTTTTAGTAGAGACGGGGTTTCACCATGTTGGCCAGGCTGGTCTCAAACTCCTGACCTCAGGTGATCTGCCCGCCTCAGCCTCCCAAAGTGCTGGGATTACAGGTGTGAGCCACTGCGCCCAGCCAAATGTTATCTTATGGTCACTGCACCAGTATTCATTTGGCTGATTAGAAGTAAGATTTAGGAAGAGTGTAGGAATAGTCTCCTGATCCAAAACTCCCATTGTCTAAACGAGAAACTGAGGTCCAGGGAGAGGGAGGACCTGGCCCAGGGCCATGCAGCTATTTAATATGTTTATCATCTTCTCTAGTGGAACACTGCGGGAGAAAAGTTGCTTGCTTTTGAAATTATTTACATATGCATATATACTTTTTACATATAAAATATGAAATACATATTTCATGTATACATATGAAATATATGCATAAAAGTCAAAAGGCACCAAAAATTCAGTCTCCCTCCCACTGCTATCCCTGGTCTCACAGTGCTTCACCCTAGGACACCCACTGTTGTTACCTCTTTCTTATTTATCTTTCTAGAGACATTTAATACATATGTAACATTTACGTGTGTGTGTGTGTGTGTGTGTATATATATAAAATTTTTTTTTTTTTTTGAGACAGAGTCTCGCTCTGTCACTAGGCTGGAGTGCAGTGGCTCGATCTCGGCTCACTGCAACCTCTGCCTCCTGGGTTCAGGTGATTCTCCTGCCTCAGCCTCCCGAGTAGCTGGGACTACAGGCGCCCGTCACCATGCCCAGCTAATTTTTGTATTTTTAGTAGAGACAGGGTTTCACCATGTTGGCCAGGATGGTCTCCATCTCTTGATCTCGTGATCCACCCGCCTCAGCCTCCCAAAGTGCTAGATTTACAGGCATAAGCCACCACGCCCAGCCTATAAATTTTTTTTTTTTTTTGAGACAGAATCTTGCTCTATTACCCAGGTTGGAGTCTTGGCTCACTGCAACCTCCACCTCCTGAGCTCAAGCGATGCTCCACCTCAGCCTCCCAAGTGGCTGGGACTACAGGTGCACACCATCACACCTGGCTAATTTTTTTTTTTTTTTTTTTTTCAGAGACAGGGTTTCACCATGTTGCCCAGGCTGGTCTCAAACTCCTAAGCCCAAGCAATCCACCCACTTTTGCCTCCCAAAGCGGTGGGATTACAGGTGTGAGCCACCGTGCCCAGTCACATGCTTTTTCTGTTTGTTTGTTTGTTTGTTTGTTTAAGACGGAGTCTTACTCTGTTGCCCAAGCTGGAGTGCAGAAGCATGATGGCTCACTGCAACCTCCGCCTCCTGGGTACAAGTGATTCTTCTGCCTCAGCCTCCTGAGTAGCTGAGACTGCAGTTGCATGCCACAATGCCCGGTTAATATTTTTGTATTTTTAGTACAGACGAGGTTTCACCATATTGGCCAGGCTGGTCTCGAACTCCTGACCTCATGATCTGCTGGGACTACAGGCATGAACCACCATGCCTGGCCCCCTACGTGTTTTTAAATCACCAAATTTACATGCTATATTTACTGTTTGGCACTTTACTTTTGCATATATCTTAACTAAGATGACTTAATTTTAGTACCTAGTTGCCTCATTCTTTGTATTAGTACATAATATTTAATTGGATGGTTGTAGCATAATTTATTTAACCAGCTGCCATGTAGTTCCAAACTTTAGCTATGAAAACAATGCTGCAGGAGAATGGCATGAACCCGGGAGGCGGAGCTTGCAGTGAGCAGAGATCGCGCCACTGCACTCCAGCCTGGGTGACACAGCAAGACTCTGTCTCAAAAAAATACAATGCTGCAGCCGGGAGCGGTGGCTCACGCCTGTAATCCCAGCACTTAGGGAGGCTGAGGTGGACAGATCACCTGAGGTCAGGAGTTCGAGACCAGCCTGACCAACATGGAGAAACCCTGTCTCTACTAAAAATACAGAAAAATATTAGCCAGGCGTGGTGGTGCATGCCTGTAATCCCAGCTACTTGGGAGGCTGAGGCAGGAGAATCGCTTGAACCCGGGAGGCAGGGGTTGCAGTGAGCTGAGATCGCGCCATTGCACTCCAGCCTGGGCAACAAAAGTGAAACTCCGTCTCAAAAAGAGAGAAAAAAAAGAAAGAAAACAATGCTGCAATGACTGTCCTGGTGCATATTATATATATCTTGGGTTACCTGTGTACCTGTAGTGTAAATTTCTGAAAGTGGGATTACTGGAACAAAGAGTTTGTGTATTTCATTTTTTGATAGATATTACCAGTTTGCCCCATAAAGGGGTTGTACCAGTTAACTTTCCCACCAACAAACAAGGTGTGGCAGTGCCTGTTTCAGACACCTTCATCCCCAGCCTGGACAACATGGCAAAACCACATCTCTACAAAAAATATAAAAATTAGCTGGGTGTGGCGGGCACGCGCCTGTGGTCCCTGCTACCCAGCTACCTGGGAGGCTGAGGTAGGAGGATCTCTGGAGCACAGGAAGTTCAGGCTACAGTGAGCCATGATCGTGCCACTGCACTCCAGCCTGGGTGACAGAAGGAGACCTGTCTCAAGCAAACAAACAAACAAACAAAAAGCAAAGAACAGACACCTTCACCCACTTGAGTGATTTTGTTTTGTTTGTTTTGCCAATCTGATAAGTGGAATGTTCTTTCTCATAGTTTTAATGTACATTTTTAAAACATCCCCCAGGTGGGAGCAGTGGCTCACCCCTGTAATCCCAGAACTTCAGGAGGCTGAGGCGGGCGGATCACCTGAGGTCAGGAGTTCAAGACGAGCCTGGGCAAGTTGGTGAAACCCCATCTCTACTAAAAATACAAAAATTAGGAGGGTGGATCATGAGGTCAGGACTTCAAGACCAGCCTGGCCAAGATGGTGAAACCCCATCTCTGCTAAAAATACAAAAATTAGCCGGGCATGGTGGTGGGCGCCTGTAATCCCAGCTACTGGGAGGCTGAGGCAAAAATTGCTTGAACCCGGGAGGCGGAGGTTGCAGTGAGCTGAGATCATGCCACTGCACTCCAGGCTGGGCTACAGAGCAAGACTCCGTCTCAAAATAAATAAATAAATAAATAAATAAATAAGAGGCCGGGCACAGTGGCTGACACCTGTAATCCTAGCACTTTGGGAGGCCAAGGCGGGCAGATCACCTGAGGTCCGGAATTTGAGACCAGTCTGACCGATATGGAGAAACCCTGTCTCTACTAAAAATACAAAATTAGCCAGGCATGGTGGCGCATTCCTATACCAGCTACTCGGGAGGCTGAGGCAGGAGAATCGCTTGAAGAACCTGGGAGGTGGAGGCTGCGGTGAGCCAAGATCGCACCATTGCATTGCACTCCAGCCTGGGCAACAAAGGCAAAACTCTGTCTCAAATAATAATAATAATAATAATAAATAAAACATCCCCCTCCCCCTTAATATACATTTTTCATATTATGAATAAGATTGGCCAGGTGCAGTGGCTCACACCTGTAATCCCAGCACTTTGGAAGGCCGAGGCAGGTGCATCACCTGACTTCAGGGGTTTGAAACCAGCCTGACCAACACGGTGAAACCCCATCTCTACTAAAAATACAAAATTAGCCAGCCGTGATGGTACACGCCTATAATCCCAGCTACTCAGGAGGCTGAGGCAGGAGAATCGCTTGAACTGGGGAGGTGAAGGTTGCAGTGAGCTGAGATCAAGTCACTGCACTTTAGCCTGGGCAACAAGAGTGAAACGCTGTCCCCCAACTCCAAAAAAAAGATTGAGCCTCTGCAATAGAAACCCAGAGGCCCGTCTGTAAGTGGAGTGGGCTTCGGCCCTGGCCCCAGGCTGAGGCACTGTGTCTCTACTCCCCACCTTGCAGATAAGATGGCTTGGCAGCCGGGACCCTCGGCCCTCCCAGGAGCTGTCTCCTGCAGCCCCTCACCTGGGATGAGTAACATTTATCTGGGGAGACTGGAAGAGGCATGTTTTACTCAGACATCCTGGTTTGTCCTGCTTTTCTCTCCCTGAGGGCTGGGACTTACCCTCCAATGCAAAACGGGCAGATTTGCAGCAGGGGAATGGCAAGATGAGACCTGCTTTTATTGGAACTGAGCTGGAACCGATGGGGAGTGGGGAGGAGGCTGCAGCAGGTGGGGAGAGTGAAAATGAGTGAGCCGAGCAGCCGGATGGACCCAGAGATCCTCAGAGGTGGCCCCACTGGGGACAATGGGGTGAGATAGAACCGAGGGAGAGAAGCAGACAGGTGACCCCCGGGAGCAGGGAGAGTTGGATGGTGGGTGAGTTGGAGGTTGTTTGTGGGATGGACAAAGGACATGAAGAAATGTTTGTTAGATGAATGTCCTCCCAGAGGCTAAAGGAATGGGGTAGTCACATGTCCAACCCAGGATGTGAATGTGGCCAGTCTGGCCACAGCAAGTTAAACTACCTCTGGGGTGTGTCCTGCTCCTGGCTTCCTGTAATCTGGTTCCTTGGAGGCTAATTAACACAGAGCTAGCTTTGCTCCAGGTTTCCCACCTTGGTGTAGCTCCTTCCATGCTGTCTCTTGGCTCAGGGATGGATGGGTTGGGGAGCGGGCTCCTGACTGATGGAGGGGGTAGTATGTAGGCTGGAGGCTGGAGAGCTGGGTCCAGCTAAGCCTAGCCCCCATCCAGGCTTCCAGAGTGTGTTTGCTGCTGGCTTGAGATCAGCAGGTAGTGAACCAGGCCAGGAGGTCATTGCCCTCTCCAGGCCTTGGTATTCTAGATCCTTCTCCTCCTTTGGCCCATCTTCCTTCCTTCCTTCCTTCTTTCCTTCCTTCCTTCCTTCCTTCCTTCCTTCCTTCCTTCCTTCCTTCCTTCCTTCCTGCCTTCCTTCCTTCCTTCCTTTTTTCTTTCTTTCTCTCTCTCTGTCTCTCTCTCTCTCTCTTTCTCTTTCTTTCTTTCTTTCTTTCTTTGAGACAGAGTCTCACACTGACACCCAGGCTGGAGTGCAGTAGCGCAATCTCAGCTCACTGTAACCTCCGCCTCTCAGGTTCAAAGGATTCTCCTGCCTCAGCCTCCCTGGCCCATGTTTATTCCAGTGGCTCTTGCCCTCTCTCTCCCACAGTTGCCAATCCCAAATGAAGATATCTCTCAGGGGCAGCAAGAACCCCCATTCTAAGCACTTTAACCTCTTTTCTTAGGATAGCCAGATAAAATACAGTAACACTCAGTTACCAGCCTGGACAACACGGCGAAACCCCATCTGTACCAAAAATTTTTAAAAAAGCAACAAGTAGCTGGGAATGGTGGCTTGCACCTGTAGTCCTACCTACTTGGGAGGCTGAGGTGGGAGGATCACCTGACCCCAGGAGGTCGAGGCTGCAGTGAACCATGATTACACCACTGCACTCTAGCCTGGGTGACAGGGTAAAACCCTGTCTCAAAAAGAAAAAAAGAAAGAAAGAGAAAAAGGACACTTAGTTAAATTTAATTTCAGATAAGGAATTATTATTATTATTATTGTTATTAGAAACAGAGTCTCGCTCTGTTGCCCAGGCTGGAGTGCAGTGGCACGATTGAGGCTCACTGCAACCTCTGCCTCCCGGGTTCAAGCAATTCTCGTTCCTCAGCCTCCCAAGTAGGTGGCAGTACAGATGTGCAGCACCACACCGGTCAATTTTGGTATTTTTAGTAGAGATAGGATTTTGCCATGTTTGCCAGGCTGGTCTCGAACTCCTGGCCTCAGGTGATCTGCCCGCCTTGGGCTCCCAAAGTGCTGGGATTACAGGCGTGAGCCATCACGCCCGACTAATTTTTCAGTATAAGTATATTCCAAATACTGCATGGGATATAATTATACAACAAAATTTAGCTGCTTATTTGAAATTCAAATTTAACCGTGTGCATGTATTTTTATTTGCGAAATCTGGCAGCCTTGCCCGTTCTTCCGTAGCAGTTCCAGACAGCCACGGCCACCTGGTCCTGGTCCTCGGGAGTACCGACACAACTGCCACCCTAAAGGGCACCAGGAACTCTACCTCCATCAGCTCGCAGATGGTCACCGTGGCAGCTGTCTCTAAGGAGGGTGTTCACTCCTCTTCCACAGATGACAAAACTGAGACTCCAAGAAGCCAAGTGACTTGTGTAAGGACAAACGGTAACCAAGGCGCAGGGGAAGCAGCCAGCCTTTGCCAGTCTGACTCCAAAGTTCAAGTTCTATGTACACCCCAGGTAGCTTGGCAAACCACCCACTTCTCGAACAGGAAGGCCTCAACCCTGCCGTTCACAAAGGAGGAAAAAGACAGTGTGTGCAGGCCCCCAGGCACAGGACAGACAAGATTCGGTGCTAGAATATTCAAAGTGATTTTGAAACCCAGCGCCTCTTAGTAATAACAATACCAGTTTCGGTCATTTGCATAACTTTCTACCGTTAACAAAAGGTATCCCCAGCAGTTAATTACAATGACAAAGAAGGCACAAGGAGGCCGGGGCGGTGGTTCACGCCTGTAATCCCAGCACTTTGGGAGGCCGAGGCAAGTGGATCACCTGAGGTTAGGAGCTCAGCCTGGCCAACATGGTGAAACCCCATCTCTACTAAAAGTACAAAAAATTAGCCGGGTGTGGTGGCACATGCCTGTAATCTCAGCTACTCGGGAGCTGAGGCAGGAGAATCGCTGCAATCCGGGAGGCGGAGGTTGCAGTGAGCTGAGATCGCGCCACTGCACTCCAGCCTGGGCAACAAGAGCGAGACTCCGTCTCAAAAAACAAAACAAAACAAACAAACAAAAAAAGAAGGCAGATGGGAGAGAGAATGGTCTGTAGGATCCCTCTGCAGACCCTGGGACGTTTCCTGTGCTCCCACTGGACATGGCTGGGGTGGGTGGGTGGGTGCTGGGCAGATCCTTCTGGGCCAACTTCCAGGAGCTTCTAGATGAGGGTCCTGAAGTCACAGGCTCTGAGCGTGGGTCTGGGCAGCGCACAGAGGGCTTGGGTCCCAGTGGCCAGTTCCAGCTCTGCCTGCAGGACCCCAGTGTTGGCGAACATGCCATCGGTTACAGTTCCTGACACCACCTGCTGGACTGGATTCCAGGCGGTGTAAACCAGTCTCTGCTCTCAGGGAGGGTCTGAAAGACGACGGATCCTTTGAGGGAGGGAACTGGGAGCCCAGGCCCTCAAGATGGGTTAGGAGTAAACTGGAGGGGAGGGGCTTGGGACACCTGCCGGGGGAGTCCAGGGTGGGGTAAGACGCTGGAGAAAATATGATCAAAATGAGACTTATGTAAATCAAATCTCGTTTGGTTGCAGATCTTTTACTGCTGTTTTGATCTGCCATTGGCAGAGACTGCTGACTACTTGGGCTTTTGAGTTTTTCTTCCCCTTTTTACGTGCCATGTGGGGCAGGGGGCGGGAGGAGGTGGGGTGCCCTTTAGGCCACCAGGTTTTGTTTTTGTTTTTTGAGACAGAGTCTCGCTCTGTTGCCCAGGCTGGAGTGCAATGGCGTGATCTTGGCTCACTGCAACCTCCACTTCCCGGGTTCAAGCGATTCTCTTGCCTCAGCCTCCTGAGTAGCTGGGACTACAGGTGCGTGCCACCATGCCCGGCTAATTTTTTTTGTGTGTGTGTGTTTTTAGTAGAGATGGGGTTTCACCGTGTTAGCCAGGATGGTCTCGAACTCCTGATCTTGTGATCCGCCCGCCTCGGCCTCCCAAAGTGCTGGGATTACAGGCGTGAGCCACCGTGCCCAGCCATTTTTCTTTTCTTTTCTTCCTTTTTCTTTTTCTTTCTTTTTTTTTTTTTTTTTGAGACAGGGTTTCACTCTGTCTCCCAGGCTGGAGTGCAGTGGCACGATCTCACCTCACTGCAACCTCCACCTCCCGGGTTCAAGCGATTCTCCTGCCTCAGCCTCTTGAGTAGCTGGGATTACAGACACCTGCCACCACACCCAGCTAATTTTTTATTTTTAGTAGAGACGGGGTTTCACCATATTGGTCAGGATGGTCTCGAACTTCTGACCTCAGGTCATCTGCCACCTCGGCCTCCCAAGGTGTGCTTACAGGCATGAGCCACCACACCCGGCCTTAGGCCATCAGGGTTTAAGGAGTGCCAGGAAACTGTTAAAGGAACCTTGGGGGATCTTTCAGAAATATTTAAAAAAAAGATGAGGCTGTGGATATGCCTCCCCACCCCTACCCTCTAGTTTCTTCATTGAAAATTTTAGTTTTTTTTCCTTGCCCAATTTTCTCTTGTGAGTGGCTCTCTCTAAAATTGTAGTTCTGGATGGGCAGGTGGCTCACGCCTGTAATCCCAGCACTTTGGGAGGCTGAGGCGGGTGGATCACTTGAGGTCAGGAGTTCAAGACCAGCCTGGCCCACATGGTGAAACCCCATCTCTACTAAAATACAAAAATTAGCTGGGTATGGTGGCTGGTGCCTGTAATCCCAGCTACTCGGGAGGCTGAGGCAGGAAAATCGCTTGAACCGGAGAGGTGAAGGTTGCAGTGAGCCAAGATTGCATCACTGCACTCCAGCCTGGGCAACAAGAGCAGACACTCCATCTCAAAATAAATAAATAAAATAATAATAATAATCATCAAAGTGTAGGTATGTGTCAGAGGTGGTGGGAAGAGAGGACGTGAGAAGATGTACTTATATGACCACAGATTAAAATTTTTTATTTCAAATTTGCTGCAAAGGGAGATAATGTTGGAAAAATCCAGTTCAGAGATTCCCACTGGATAGAAACATTTGATATGAAAAAAATATATTAGATAATCATTGTCAAACAGGATTTTTAAAATCTAAGTAAAGATCATTAGACTGTTTGCAAAATGGAAAGCTGGTTGTATAACTGCCCAAGGGGATCACCTTGCCCGCTGCCTAGACAGCCGATTCATCAAGACAGGGGAATTGCAACGGAGAAAGAGTAATTCACGCAAAGCTGGCTGTGCAAAGACCAGAGTTTTTTGTTTGTTTGTTTGTTTTTGTGACATAGTTTTTGCTCTTATTGCCCAGGCTGGAGTGCAATGGTGCAATCTCAGCTTACTGCAACCTCCACCTCCCGGGTTCAAGTGATTCTCCTGCCTCAGCCCTCCCGAGTAGCTGGGATTACAGACGTGCATCACCATGCTCGGCTAATTTTTTTTTTATTTTTAGTAGAGACAGGGTTTCACCATGTTGGTCAGGCCTGTCTCGAACTCCTGACCACAAGTGATCCACCCAATTCGGCCTCCCAAAGTGCTGGGACTACAGGCGTGAGCCACTGTGCCCAGCCTGTTTGCAGCAGTTTTGTTTAATAGCTCTAAACTGGAAATAGGATAATTGATAAATAAATTGTAGTATATTTGCTATGGTCTGAGTGTGTTCCCCAAAATTCATGAATTGGAAACTTTTTTGTTTTTGTTTTTGAGATGGAGTTTTACTCTTGTCATCCAGGCTAGAGTGCAATGGTGTGATCTTGGCTCACTGCAACCTCTGCCTCCCGGGTTCAAGAGATTCTCCTGTCTCAGCCTCCCAAGTAGCTGGGATTATAGGTGCCTGCCACCATGCCTGGCTAATTTTTGTATTTTTAGTACAGACAGGGTTTCACCATGTTGGCTAGGCTGGTCTTGAACTCCTGACCTCATGTGATCTGCCCACCTCGGCCTCCCAAAGTGTTGGGATTACAGGCATGAGCCACCACACCTGGTGAATTGGAAACTTAATCCTCAATGCAACAGTGTTGGGAGGTAGGGCCTAGTGGGAGGTGTTTAGGTCATGAGAGCTCTGCCCTCATGAATACATAAATGCTGCCATTAAAAGGGCTCACAGAAGTGGGTTCTGTCCTTTCACTCTTCTGACATGTGAGAACACAGCATTTGTCCCTGCTTGACTTCTGCTTTCTGCCATGTGAAGACACAGCAAGAAGGCCCACACCAGATGCCACCACCTTAATCTTGGACTTCCCAGCCTCCAGAACTATGAGAAATAAATTTCTGTTTCTTATAAATTATCCAGTCTCAGGCATTCCACTGTAGTAGCACAAACGGACTAAGGCAGTATTTGTATCTAAAAGGCTATCTAGAGCTGGGTGTGGTGGCTCACACCTGTAATCTCAGCACTTTGGGAGGCCAAGGCAGGTGAATCACCTGAGGTCAGGAGTTCGAGACCAGCCTGGCCAACATGGTGAAACCCCATCTTTATAAAAATACAAAAATTAGCCAGGCATGGAGCACACACTTATAATCTCAGCTACTCAGGAGGCTGAGGCAGGAGAATTGCTGGAACCTGGGAGGCGGAGGTTGTAGTGAGCCGACATTGCACCACTGCACTCCAGGCTGGGCGACAGACTGAGACTCTGTCTCAAAAAAAAAAAAAAAAAAAGAGGCTGGGCGAGGTGGCTCATGTCTGTAATCCCAGTACTTTGGGAGGCCAAGGCAGGTGGATCACAAGGTCAGGAGGGTTTTTTTTGTTTTGTTTGTTTGTTTGTTTTTTGAGACGGAGTCTTGCTGTCGCCCAGGCTGGAGTGCAGTGGCGCGATCTCAGCTCACTGCAGGCTCTACCCTCTGGGGTTCACGCCATTCTCCTGCCTCAGCCTCCCGAGTAGCTGGGACTACAGGCGCCTGCCACCTCGCCCGGCTAATTTTTTGTATTTTTAGTAGAGACGGAGTTTCACCGTGTTAGCCAGGATAGGATGGTCTCGATCTCCTGACCTCGCCTCGGCCTCCCAAAGTGCTGGAATTACAGGCGTGAGCCACTGCGCCCGGCCAAGGTCAGGAGTTTTGAGATGTGCCTGGCCAAGATGGTGAAACCCTGTCTCTACTAGAAATACAAAAATTAGCTGGGCATGGTGGCGGGCACCTGTAATCCCAGCTACTCGAGAGGCTGAGGCAGGAGAATTGCTTGAACCCGGGAGGCAGAGGTTGCAGCGAGTGGAGATCTTGCCACTGCACTCTAGCCTGGGTGACAGAGCAAGACTCCGTCTCAAAAAAAAAAAAAAAAGAAAAAATTTTTAAAAAGATCTGAATCAGGTAACAATGTGGATGAATCTCACAGATATCCTTGAGAGAAATACATATACACAGTATGATTAATACAGACGTAGTATGATGCCTTTACATGAAGTTCAAAAAGACGAAAATTTCATTTACGGTGTTACAAGTCAGAAGAGCAGTTACCCGTGGTCTAGGAGACTTTCTGGGATAAAGAGAATCTGTTGTTTTTTTTTTGAGACAGAGTTTCACTCTGTTGCCCAGGCTGGAGTGCAATGGCATGATCTTGGCTCAGCACAACCTCTGTCTCCCAAATTCAAGCGATCCTCCTGCCTCAGCCTCCCAAGTAGCTGAGATTACAGGCTTCCGCCACCAAGCCTGGCTAATTTTTTTTTTGTATTTTTAGGGGTTTCACCATGTTGGCCAGGCTGGTCTTGAACTCCTGACCTCAGGCGATCCACCCGCCTTGGTATCCCACAGTGCTGGGATTACAGGTGTAAGCCACCGCGCTCAGCAAAAGATTCTTTTGTATCTTGATCTGGGTGGCGGTTACACTGTATAGTAGGCTGAATAATGGACTCCAACTATATTGGGTCCTAAACTCTAGAGCAGGGGTCCCCAGTCCCTGGGCCGCGGACCACTAACAGTCCCTGGCCTGTTAGGAACCAGGCCTCACAGCAGTAGGTGGAGTGGTGGGCCAGCAAGCGAAGCTTCATCTGTATTTACAGCTGCTCCCCATCGATCACATTTCTGCCTGAGCTCTGTCTCCTGTCACATCACTGGGGCCATTAGATTCTCATAGTAGCACAAACCCTATTGTGAACCGGGCACGCAAGGGATCTAGGTTGCGCGCTCCTCATGAGAACCTAATGCCTGATGATCTGTCACTGTCTCCCATCACCCCCAGATGGGACCATCTAGATGCAGGAAAACAAGCTTAGGGCTCCCACTGATTCTACATTATGGTGAAGTATAATGATTTCATTATATATTACAATGTCATAATAATACAATTAAAGTACACAATCAATGTAATGTGCTTTAATCTTCCTGAAACCATCCCCCGCATCACCCGTCACCCATCCATGGAAAAATATGTCTTCCACAAAACAGGAACTGGTGCCACAAAGCTTGGGGAGTACTGCTCTAGAGTCTGTCAATGTTACCCTATCTGGGAAAAGGGTCTTTGCAGATGTGATAGCTAAGGATCTTGAGATGGAGAGCTTATCCTGGATGACCCGGATGAATCTAAATGCAATCACAGGTGTCCCATAAGAGAGAGGCAGAGGGAGATTTGAGAAGACAGAAGGAGAGAAGGTAATGTGAAGATGGAGAGAGATTGGAGCGAAGTAGACACAAGCCAAGGACTGCCAGCAGCCAGCAGCTAGAAGAGGCAAGGAAGGGACTCTCCCAGAGCCTTGAAGACAGCATGACCCTGCTGACACCTCCATTTCAGTCCTGCGATACCAACTTCAGACTTCTGCCCCCCAGGAGAGAAAACATTCGAGAGAATACGTTTATGGTTTTGGTTGTTTTTTTCTTTTTTTGAGACCAAGTTTCACTCTTGTTGCCCAGGCTGGAGTGCAATGGCGCGATCTCAGCTCACCAAGCGATTCTCCTGCCTCAGCCTCCATAGCTACCATGCCCGGCTAATTTTGTATTTTTAGTAGAGACGGGGTTTCTCCATGTTGGTTAGGCTGATTTCGAACTCCCATCCTCAGGTGATCCGCCGGCCTCGGCCTCCCAAAGTGCTGGGATGAAAGGCGTGAGCCACTGTGCCCGGCCATGTTTATGTTGTTTTAAGACACCAAGTTTGGGATAGTTTGTTATATCAACCGCAGGAAACTAGTACACACAGGTGCATATATATACAGAAAAATTCACTGAGCTGGGCGTGGTGGCTCGCACCTGGAATCCCAGCACTTTGGGAGGCTGAGGTGGGTGGATCACCAGAGGTCAGGAGCTCGAGACCAGCCTAACCAACATGGTGAAACTTCGTCTCTACTAAAAATACAAAAATTAGCTGGGCGTGGTGGTGGGCGCCTGTAATCACAGCTTCTCAGGAGGCTGAGGCAGGAGAATCACTTGAAACCGGGAGGTGGAGGTTGCAGTGAGCCGAGATCGTGCCATTAGAAAAAAAAAAGAACCAGCTCATTAGCACGGGCTTAGTGCCCAGAGGCCCAAGTTCCTGCAGCACTGGTAGTGGTGAGGCCTCCTCCTCTGGCCACAACCAGGTCATCAAAATTGGGGCTGTCAGGGCAGTTGGGATAGAGGGACACAGCTCCCCAGAATCCTAATCTCCCTGTCCTGCCTCCTGCTCTTAGGATCCCATGTACTTTTCCAGATTTTCGTGGACCCTGTGAAGAGCGTTAAGTCCTCAGGAGAGCTCCTCTTTTTTTTGGTTGTTTGTTTTTTTTGTTTTGTTTTTTGAGACGGAGTGTCACTCTGTCGCCCAGGCTGGAGTGCAGTGGCGCGATCTCGGTTCACTGCAAGCTCCACCTTGTGGGTTCACACCCTTCTCGCCTCAGCCTCCTGAGTAGCTGGCACTACAGGCGGCCGCCAACACGCCCGGCTAATTTTTTGTACTTTATTTTTTATTTATTTATTTTTCTTGAGACGGCGTCTCGCTCTGTCGCCCAGGCTGGAGTACAGTGGGGTGATCTCGGCTCACTGCAAGCTCCGCCTCCTGGGTTCAAGCGATTCTCCTGCCTCAGCTTCCTGAGTAGCTGGGACTACAGGCACCTGCCACCACGCCCAGCTAATTTTTATACTTTTAATAGAGACGGGGTTTCACCATGTTGGCCAGGATGGTCTCGAACTCCTGACCTTGTGATGCACCCGCCTCGGCCTCCCAAAGTGTTGGGATTACAGGCATGAACCACCGCGCCTGGCTTGTACTTTTTTAGTAGTGACGGAGTTTCACTGTGTTAGCCAGGATGGTCTCGATCTCCTAACCTCGTGATCCGCCCGCCTCGGCCTCCCAAAGTGCTGGGATTACAGGCATGAGCCATTGCACCCAGCTGTTTCTGCAGTTCTCTTACTGGTCGGACCGGCTTCTCCTCTTCTGGGGCGAACCCCTCAAGTCTTAACTCCTCAGAGGGGTCAGAGTAAGATTAAATACCAATTGCCCAGGCTTCATCGGCTTTTCTTCCCTGCCTCAGTTTCCCCACTGCCTTACTTGTGTTTCCTTGGATTACCTCCCAAATAAACTATCCACAACCAAGTCCTTGTTTCAGGGTCTACTTTGGGGAAACCCACACTAAATCTAAGTCTCAGACGCTGGGGAGGCCCTGGTTCTGTGTCCACTCCTGAAGCTGGGGTCTGGGGTCAGTTCCCCTCTGCCCTGGGTTTCAAGGCTCCAAGATCTCAGTTTGCTCCAGGTTTCTCCCTACATAGATGTCCCAAGAGCCCTCCAAATATAACATCTCTTGGCCGGGTACGGTGGCTCACGCCTGTAATCCCAGCACTTTAGGAGGCCGAGGCAGGCAGATTATCTGAGGTCAGGAGTTCGAGACTAGCCTGGCCAATGCGGTGAAATCCTGTCTTTACTAAAAATACAAAAATTAGCCAGGCGTGGTGGCACGTGCCTGTAGTTCCAGCTACTTGGGAGGCTGAGGCGGGAGAATTGCTTGAACTTGGGAGGTGGGGGTTGCAGTGAGCCGGGATTGTGCCATTGCACTCCAGCCTGGGCGACAAGAGCTAAATAATGTCTCCAAAAAAAAAAAATACATATATATATATATATTTATATATACATTTATATATATTTATATATATATTTGTATATATTTATATATATTCATATATATTTGTATATATTTATATATGTATATATGTATATATTTATATATATTTATATATTTATTTTTATATATTTATATATTTATATATATAAATGTTTATATTTATTTATAAATGTTTATATATATAAACATTTATATATTTCTATATATAAACATTTATATATTTCTATATATAAACATTTATATATTTCTATATATAAACATTTATATATTTCTATATATAAACATTTGTGTATTTCTATATATAAACATTTGTATATTTTTATATATAAACATTTATATATTTATATATATATATGTAAAACATCTCTTAAACCTAACTCACTGTTTTTCTCTTTAAACATGTTTTCCCCCAGACATCCTTCTTCTGCCCTCACTCACTCCCCGGAGGAGCCACATGTTCCTCTCTCACCTTTGCTCAGCCTGTTCCTCCCTCTTACCTTCTCCAGGAAGGTGGGGATGCTCTGGGCCTCCTGGTTTCTTGGTGAGGGCAAGGAGGGCTCTGCAGCTCCCCCAGTCCCAAGGGGCTGTCAGGACAAGGTCAGCCCAGTAGAGGCAGCTAATCTGGGCTTGGGGAGTTGGGACAGGGGAGCTTACACGCACAGGCTCACACAGTGCATATATACACTGTGTACGTGCCCATCTGCGCATACATGGGTGTCTGCACGCATGTACAGGCACACATGGGTGTGTATAGGCACATACAGCACACAAGAGGATGTGTGTGCACCACGGGCATGCATGATCACTCACAGGTACACATATGTCTAGCTGCAAACAGATCCCCTGGGAGAACTTTGACCAGCCCAGCGATGGGTGTAGTGAGCTGTGCAGGGAGATTGGGGGAGAGAAAAGAGAGGGGAGGAGAGGGGAGGGAATCCAGGAGACAAGGTGGGTGGAGAGGTTGGGTTGCAGTTGGGAATCCCAGGAGCTACACTGGCTTCAGTTCCCTTCCTGGGAACTCAGTGTCTCCCTGGGGCTCTGCCCACCAGCAGAGGCATTTGGGGTCAAGAAAATCAATGCCATTCTTTTTGAGTGATGGGGTCAGCTGGTTGTCGGTGGACACTGGGGTTATGTAGATGCATGTCCATCTACTTGGGCCAGACCACGCCATGGCCTCCCACAGCCTCTGTGCAGTGACCATGCCTGCAGGCAGCGGGGTGGAGGACCCTTCCATTGGTCTCCCGTGTCCCTTCCTGAACCACTGGCTTCACCTTCTGTACTCCCTGCCCAGCGCCTGGCCTGACTCCTACTGATAGCCTGCCCCTGGCTTTGGCTCCCTCCTTGACCATGATTCCCACTCACCCAATAATTAGCTTGTATCCCATTAACCTTGACCAGGCCCAGACCACATCCCAGGAGCTGGTTTCTGGGTTTGTCTAGGACCACTAGTGGGACCCAGGCTGGAAGAAGTTCTCATGCTTATGGGGACAGAATTAGGGAAGGAATTCAGAAAAGCTGAGGCAGAGAGAAGCCATTTATAATTAATAGCTCAGGACAAAACTGCGGGCAGAATTAGACTGAGTTTTGTTTTTTGTTTGTTTGTTTGTTGTTTTGAGATGGAGTTTCGCTCTGTTGCCCAGGTTGGAGTGCAATGGCGCAATCTCGGCTTACTGCAACCTCCGCCTCCCAGATTCAAGCAATTCTCCTGTCTCAGCCTCCAGAGCAGCTGGGATTACAGGCGCCTGTCGGGCTTTTTTTTTGAGACAGAGTCTTGCTCTGTTGCCTGGGCTGGAGTGCAGTGGTGTGATCTCGGCTCACTGCAACCTCCACCTCCGGGTTTAAGCCGACTCTCCTGCCTCAGCCTCCCCAGTAGCTGGGATTACAGGCTGATGCCACCACACCCAGCCCGCGCCGGGCTGTTTTTTTGTAAAGACAGGGTTTTTCCCTGTTGTCCAGGCTGGTCTGGAACTCCTGACTTCAGGCTATCTGCTGGCCTCGGCCTCCCAAAGTGCTGTGATTACAGGAATGAGCCACTGCGCCTGGCCTTTTTGTGTTTTTTGAGACAGGGTCTCTCTATGTTGCTCAGGTTGGGGTGCAGTGGTGCCCTCCTGAGGAGTAGCTGGGACCACACACATGCACCACCACGCCTAATTTTTTTTTTTTTTTGAGACAGAGTCTTGCTCTGTTGCCCAGGCTGGAGTGCAGTGACGTGATCTTGGCTCACTGCAATCTCTGCCTCCTGGGTTCAAGCGATTCTCCTGCCTCAGCCTCCCGAGTAGCTGGGATTACAGGTGCCCACCACCACGCCCGGCTAATTTTTGTATTTTTAGTAGAGACAGGGTTTCACCATGTTGGTCAGGCTGGTCTCGAACTCCTGACCTCAGGTGATCTGCTTCCCTCGGCCTCCCAAAGTGCTGGGATTACAGGCGTGAGCCGCCGCGCCCAGCTTAATTTTTAATTTTTAGAGATGGGGGTCTCATTGTGTTGCCCCGGCGGGTCTCGAATTCTTGGGTTCAAGTGATGTTCCAGCCTCCACCTCCCAAAGTGATGGGATTACAGGAGTGAGCCATCGTGCCTGGCTGGATATTTTCAAGCATTACATTAAAAAAATTCTCCACTTACAAGTCAGTGTTTCAGAAACAGCCCCCAGGCTGGTCCTGTTACTCGCAGCTGTTATCTCAACATTCTTGGAGGCCTAGTGGGAGGATGGCTTGAGGCTAGGCGTTTGAGACTAGCCTGGGCAACATAGCAAGACTTTGTCTCTACAAAACAATTAAAGAATTTAGCCTGGCATGCTGGCACATACCTGTAGTTCCATCTACTTGGGAGGCTGAGGCAGGAGAATCGCTTGAGGCCATGAGTTTGAGGCGGCAGCGAGCTATGCTTGTGCCACCGTGCTCTGGATTAGGTGACAGAGTGAGATTCTGTCTCCATAAAAAAAAAAAAAAAAAAAAATTAAGGCTGGGTGGGGTGGCTCATTCCTGTAATCCCAGCACTCTGGGAGGCCAAGTCAAGTGGATCACCTGAGGTCAGCAGTTCGAGACAAGCCTGACCAACATGGCGAAACCCCGACTCTACTAAAAATACAAAGATTAGCCGGGGGTAGTAGCAGCACACACCTGTAATCCCAGCTACTCGGGAGGCTGAGGCAGGAGAATCACTTGAACCCGGGAGGGGGACGTTGGCAGTGAGCCGAGATCATGCCATTGGCACTCCAGCCTGGGCAACAAGAGCAAAACTCCGTCTCAAAATAAATAAATAAATAAATAAATAAATAAATAAATAAATAAATAAATAAAAAGGGCAGTGATGTTTATGTCAACACAGCATGAGCTCTGAGCAAGGCCATCTGTGGGACACGTCGCACAAGGCGTGCCACAAAACTAACACCTGACAAATGAGGGCTGCTTTCCCTCCTCCTGTCTGGCCCATGGCAGATTGCAGGCGCCACTGGTTAGCCTGAGTCACGGCAATTGCAAATGCACCAACTTGGCCAGATTGGCTGTCAGACTGGATTTTTAAAAAAATCTAGATTCATGCTGTTTATAAAAGACACACATCAAACAAGGATATGGAAGGCTGAATGTCAATGGCTAGAAAATACTCACCAAGAGAAAGCTAGTGTATCTATATTCGTATCAAACTAAATAGTATTTAAGACAAACAATAGTTATCAGGGAAAACAATAGTGTTTACATCATAATTACAGGAACAAGCTACTAAGCTGAAGCAACCTCAGCTGGGTGCTGGGACTACGCCTGTAGTCCCAGCTACTTAGGAGGCTGAGGCAGGATTGCTTGAGGCCAAGAGTTCAAGGCCAGCCTGGGCAACATAAGGAGACCTCGTCTTTCTCTCTCTCAAAAAAAAGTAAGGTGAAACAATTCTCAAGTTGTATTATCTAATAATATATGTTCAACACATATAAAGCAAATGTCAAGTGAAAAGACAGCCCACAGAAGAATGGGAGAACATTTTTGCAAATCATGTAGCTGATAAGAAATGTGTATCTGGAATATATATTAAAAAAATCTCTTGGCCGGGCACAGTGGCTCACGCCTGTAATCCCAGCACTTTGGCAGTTTGAGGTGGGTGGATCACCTGAGGTCAGGAGTTCGAGACCAGCCTGGCAAACATGGCGAAAACCCATCTCTACTAAAATTACAAAAGTTAGCTGGGTGTGGTGGCACGTGCCTGTAATCCCAGCTACTTGGGAGGCTGAGGCAGGAGAATCACTTGAACCCGGGAGGCGGAGGTTGCAGTGAAATGAGATCTTGCCACTGCACTCCAGCCTGGGTGACAGAGCGAGACTCTGTCTCAGAAAAACAAAAACAAAAACCAAAAAAAAAAAAAACCAAAAAACTCTTACAACTCAGCAATAAAACCCAAATAATCCAATTTTAAAATGGCCAAAAGATTTGAATATACATTTCTTTTGTTTGTTTGTTTGTTTGTTTGTTTTTTGAGACGGACTCTCGCTCTGTCACCCAGGCTGAAGTGCAGTGCCGCCCCGCGATCTCAGCTCACTGCAACCTCCGTCTCCCGGGTTCAAGCAATTCCCTGCCTCAGCCTCCTGAGTAGCTGCGATTATAAGCACCCGCCACCATGCCTGGCAAATTTTTGTATTTTTTGTAGAGACAGGGTTTCACCATCTTGGCCAGGCTGGTCTTGAACTCCTGACCTCCTGATCCACCTGCCTCGGCCTCCCAAAGTGCTGAGATGACAGCCGTGAGCCACCGCGCACGGCCTTGAATAGACATTTCTTTCTGAAGAAGATATAACATCATAAATGATCAGGGAACTGCAAATCAAAACCACAGTGAGATACCAATTCACACCCACTAGGATGGCTAGAATAAAAAAGAGAAATAATTTTTTAAATGATTGCAAAGATTTGAAGAAATCAAAACCCTCGCAGGCTGCTGGTGGGAATCAAAACAGGTGCAGCGTCTTTGGGAAATAGTCTGGTAGTTCCTTGAGCAGTTAAATGTAGATTTGCCATTTGCTCTGACAATTCCCCTTCTAGGGATATACCCAGTAAATTGAAAACATGCTCACACAAAAACTTTGACATGAATGTTTGTAGCAGCAATTATTCGTAATAGCAAAAAAATGGAAGCAACTCATCTGTCCAACCAAAGAATGGCTCAACAAATTACGGTGTATTCACACAGTGGAATATGATTAGGCCACAAAAAGGAATCATACTGACGTGCTGTAACATGGATGAAACTTGAGAACATCTTGGCAAGTGAAAAGAGCCACTCTTTTTTTTTTTTTTTTTTGAGAAGGAGTCTCGTTCTGTGGCCCAGGCTGGAGTGCAGTGGCACAATCTCGACTCACTGCAACCTCCGCCTCCCAGGTTCAAGCAATTCTTCTGTCTCCACCTCCCCAGTAGCTGGAACTACAGGCGCCCACCACCATGCCCGGCTAATTTTTCATTTTTATTAGAGATGGGGTTTCACCATATTGGTCAGGCTGGTCTCGAACTCCTGACCTCAGGCGATCCACCTGCCTCAGCCTCCCAAAGTGCTGAGATTACAGGCATGAGCCACACACCCAGCCAGGAGCCACTCTTAAAAGGCCAGATATTGTATAATTCCATTGATATACAATGTCCAGAACAGGCAAATCCACAGAGACAGAAAGTAGGTTGGCCGTTGCCAGGGTCAGGGAGGGAGGAAAAGTTGGGGGAAGGTAGAGAGTGACTGCTAATGGGCACAGGGCTTTTTTTGAGGTAATGAATTTTTTTTTTTTTTTTTGAGACGGAGTCTCCCTCTGTTGCCCAGGCTGAATTGCAGTGGGGTGATCTCGGCTCACTGCGACCTCCGCCTCCCGGGTTCAAGAGATTCTCCTGCCTCAGCCTCCTGAATAGCTGGGACTACAGGCACCTGCCAACACACCTAGCTCATTTTTGTATTTTTAATAGAGACGGGGTTTCACCATGTTGGTTAGGCTGGTCTCGAACTCCTGAGCTCAAGTGATCCACCTGCCTCGGCCTCTGAAAGTGCTGGGATTACAGACATGAGCCACTGATCCCAGCTGAAAATGTTTTAAAGTTGATTGTGGTCATGGTTGTACCGACCTGTGAGTATGCCAAAAAACATTGAATTGTACACCTTAAATGAACATGGTATGCACATTATATTTCAATAATGCTGATATATATATGGAATCACATAGTATCTGGCCTTGGCTGTGTGCAGTGGCTCATGCCTGTAATCCCAGCACTTTGGGAGGCCAAGGCAGGCAGATCACCTGAAGTCAGTAGTTCGAGACCAGCCTGGCTAACGTGGCGAAACCCTGTCTCTACTAAAAAATATACAAAAATTAGCTGACCATGGTGGTGCATGCCTGTAACCCCAGCTACTTGGGAGGCTGAGGCAGGGAGAATCACTTGAACCTAGAAAGTTGCAGTGAGCTGAGTTTGCGCCATTGCACTCCAGCTTGGGTGACAGAGCCAGACTCTGTCTCAAAAAAAAAAAAAAAAAAAAAAAATATATATATGGCCTTTTCTGAGTGGCTTCTTTCACTTCACCTAATATTTTCAAGGTTCATTCAAATGGTAGCATGTTGCAGTACTTCATTCCTTTTTATGCCCATTCCATTGTGTGGATACATCAGAAGCACCTCAATTTGTTTATCTATTCTTCAGTTGGGCGTACGAGGTGCTTCCACTTTTTTTTTTTTTTTTTTTGAGATAGGATCTTGCTTTGTCACCCAGTGTCATAGCTCACTCACTGCAGCCTCAACAACCTCCTGGGCTCAAGGGATTCTCCCATATCAGTCTCCCGAGAAGCTGGGACTACAGGTGTGTACCACCATGGTCAGCTAATTTATTTTTATTTATTTTTGAGACAGGGTCTCACTCTGTCACCTGGCTGGAGTGCAGTAGTGTGATCATGGCTCACTGCAGTCTTGACCTCCTGGGCTCAAGCAATACTCCCATATCAGCCTCCTGAGTAGCTGGGATTACAGGCACCTGCCACCACACCTGGTTAATTTTTGTATTATTATTATTATTATTTTTGAGACAGAATCTCTCTGTGTTGCCCAGGCTGGAGTGCAGTGGCACGATCTCAGCTCATTGCACCCTCCGCCTCCCAGGTTCAAGCGATTCTCCTGCCTCAGCCTCCCGAGTAGCTGGGATTGCAGGCGTGCGCCACCATGCCCAGCTAATTTTTGTATTTTTTTAGTAGAGACGGGGTTTCACCATATTGGCCAGGCTGGTCTCTAACTCTTGACCTCGTGATCCACCCACCTTGGCCTCCCAAAGTGCTGGGATGACAGGCGTGAGCCACCGCGCCTGGCCTAACTGTTGTATTTTTAGTAGAGACAGGGTTTTGCCATGTTGCCCAGGCTGGTCTTGAACTCCAGACCTCAAGTGATCCACCCACCTCGGCCTCCCAAAGTGCTGGGATTACAGGCGTGAGCCACTGCGCCCGGCCAACTTTACCCATTTCCACCTTTGATGTGTGCAGTAAAATGCATTCTTGCTGGTGATTTGCGGTCTTGGGCTTCTGGGCCAAGCGGAGCTCTGCCTTGGACGCATGCGCAGCAGATGATGGCCCGTGTTTTTTGTACGTGTGTGTTTTGCATTAAGGAAGGAAAGTGATGACCTTCACGGGTCAGCATCTTTCCCTGAGTCTCCTCTCTTAAATGAATACTTGAGATCCCAAGTGGCTTATCATGAGTTTTCCTCTATATCAAGGGTCTGTGAACTCTGGCCTGCTGGAAGCATGGCTGATGGCCTGTTTTTTTTGTTTTTTTTTGGCCCCTGAACTAATAACGGTTTTCACATTTGTTTGTTTAAAAAAATACATTTCTGGCTGGGCGCGGTGCCTCACGCCTGTAATCCTAGCACTTTGGGAGGCCGAGGCGGGTGGATCACCTGAGGTCGGTAGTTTGAGACCAGCCTGACCAACATGGAGAAACCCCATCTCTACTAAAAATACAAAATTAACAGGGTGTAGTGGCAGGCACCTGTAATCCCAGCTACTTGGGAGGCTGAGGCAGGAGAATCACTTGAACCCGGGAGGAGGAGGTTGCGGTGAGCCAAGATCGCGCCATTGCAATCCAGCCTGGGCAACAACAGCGAAACATCGTCTCAAAAAAAAAAAAAAAAAAAAAAAAGAAAGAAAGAAAAGAAAAAAAGAAAAAAAAAAGATTGATTTCCCCACCTCCCCACCTCTTCCACGAGTTCCCCAAGCCCTGCAAGATGACTTCGATGGGATACAATTGTTTCCACCTCATCACAGCAGAATGATAATGCCTATAGCCTGTCAATGGCAAGTTCTCGAATGTGTGGGCACCAGGAACACACCCCGGAAGCCACATGTCCTTGCCCCAAGGGAAGGGCCCTGGAGAGCAGAAGAGAGGAGGAAAGTTGAGCCTCTTCCCCTTTTCCGTCCTCCTTCCTCCTGCCCTGATTCTGCCCACAGAGGAAGGGTCTGAGCTAGAGGAACCTGGACAGTGAATCCACACCCTATGGACAGATGAGAAGACCGAGGCCAGAGACAACGCAGGGTCCGGCCCCTGGTCCTATGCCTGATGCCTCTCACTGGAGACCCCTCCCCCACTTCAAGGTCGCCCCTAGAAGGCAAACGCTGAAGCCAAGTGTTCTTGGAGCGTCTCTTGGTGGACGCTTCGGCCCTGCCACGGAACGGCCCCTTAGTGAAGGTTCTCAGCTTAGACTTCAGCGCCACCTGGTGGCCACCGGGCATCAGACCTGGGACTTGCCTCGAGGGCTGCCAGAAACTTGAGTTTGTCCACTCACATCACTGCATCCCGTGGAGAAGTCCCAGTGCCGACCTGCTTGCTTGCTTGCTTGCTTGCTTGCTTGCTTGCTTGCTTGCTTTCTCTTTCCTTCTTCCTTCCTTCCTTCCTTTCCTTTCTTTTCTTTTTTCTTTCTCTTTTTCCCTCCCTCCCTCCCTTCCTCTCCTTCTCTCTCTCTGTCTCCCTCCCTCCCCCCTCCCTCCCTTCTCTCTCTCTCTGTTTTTCTCTCTCTCTGTCTCTCCTGCCTTCCCGCTTTCTTTCTTTCTTTCTTTTTTTTTGTTTTTGAGACGGAGTCTCGCTGACTCCCATGCTGGAGTGCAGTGGCGCGATCTCCGCTCACTGCAAGCTCTGCCTCCCGAGTAGCTGGGACTACAGGCGCCCGCCTCCACGCCCGGCTAATTTTTTGTATTTTTAGTGGAGACAGGGTTTCACTGTGTTAGCCAGGATGGTCTCAATCTCCTGACCTCGTGATCCGCCCGCCTCGGCCTCCCAAAGTGCTGGGATTACAGGCGTGAGCCACCGCGCCCGGCTTCTTTCTTTTTTTTTTTTGGAGTTTCACTCTGCCACCCAGGCTGGAGTGCAATGACACGATCTTGGCTCACTGTAACCTCTGCCTCCAGAGTTCAAGTGATTCTCCTGCCTCAGCCTCCCGAGTAACTGGGATTACAGGCGCCCATCACCACATCTGGCTAATGTGTGTGTGTGTGTGTATGTGTGTGTGTGTGTGTGTGTATGGAATTTCGCTCTTGTTGCCCAGGCTGGAGTGCAATGGCACGATCTCGCTCCCTGCAACCTCCGCTTCCTGGGTTCAAGCGATTCTCCTGCCTCAGCCTCCTGAGTAGCTGGGATTACAGGCTTGCGCCACCATGCCCAGCTACACCTGTAATCTCAGCACTTTGGGAGGCCAAGGCGGGCAAATCACCTGAGGTCGAGAGTTCGAGACCAGCCTAGCCAACATGGTGAAACCCCGTCTCCACCCAAAATACAAAAATTAGCCGGGCGTGGTTGTGGGTGCCTGTAATCCCAGCTTCTCGGGAGGCTGAGGCAGGAGAGTCGCTTGAATCCGGGAGGCAGAGGTTGCAGTGAGTCGAGATCGTGCTATTGCACTCCAGCCTGGGCGATAAGAGCAAAACTCTGTCTCAAAAAAAAAAAATATATATATATATATATATATAATCTTTGTGTATCAATCTTGTATTTGCAACCTTGCTGAATGCACTTATTAGTTCCAATAATCTTTTAGTGGATTCCTTAGGCTTTTCTATATACAGGATTATACTTGCTTATATTTGCTTCTTCCTTTTCCATTTGGGTACTCTTTTATTTCTTTTTCTGTCCTAATTGCCCTGGCTGGAGCCTGCAGTACACTGTTGAATAGAAGTGGTAGGAGCAGACATCCTTGTCTTGTTCCTGACTTTGGAGAGAAAGTGTTCAGTCTTTCATCATTAAGTATGATGCTAGCTGTGGGTTTTTTATAGGTGCCCTGTATCAGGTGGAGGATGTTCCTTTCTATTCCAATTTGAAAGTTTTATCATGAAAGGGTGTTGGATTTTGTCAAATGCTTTTTCTCCATCTATTAAATGATAATGAGATTTTTTTTTTCTTTCTTTTTTCTTTTTAATACAGTCTCGTTCTGTCACGCAGGCTGGAGTGCATTGGTACAATCATGGCTCACTGCAACCTCCGCCTCCTGGGCACAAGCGATTCTCCTGTCTCAGCCTCCTGAGAAGCTGGAATCACAGGTGTGCCACCATGCCTGGCTTGTTTGTTATTTTATTGATGTGATATACTGCATTTATTGACTTTCAGATATTAAACCAACCTGGCATCCCATCCCAGGGATAAATCCTACGTGATCATGGTGTATCATTCTTTTTTGTTTGTTTTTGTTTTTTGAGACGGAGTCTCACTCTGTTGCCCAGGCTGGAGTGCAATGGCACGAACTCAGCTCACTGCAAGCTCCACCTCCTGGGTTCCAGCGATTCTCCTGCCTCAGCCTCCCGGGTAGCTGGGATTATAGGTGTGCACCACCATGCCTGGCTAATTTTTTGTATTTTTAGTAGAGACAGAGTTTCTCCATGTTGGCCAGGCTGATCTCAAACTCCTGATCTCAGGTGATCCACTCGCCTCAGCCTCCCAAAGTGCTAGGATTATAGGCGTGAGCCACCATGCCCGGCCTGTGGTGTATCTTTTTATTATTATTATTTTTTGAGACAGAGCTTCACTCTTGTTGCCCAGGCTGGAGTACAATGGGGTGATCTCAGCTCACTGCAACCTCCACCTCCTGGGTTCAAGTGATTCTCCTGCCACAGCTTCCTGAGTAGCTGGGATTACAGGCATGTACCACCATGCCCAGCTAATTTTGTATTTTTAGTAGAGATGGGGTTTCTCCATGTTGGTCAGGCTGGTCTCGAACTCAGGACCTCAGGTGATCTGCCCTCCTCGACCTCCCAAAGTGCTGGGATTACAGGTGTGAGCTACTGCGTCTGGCCAGGTGTATCATTTTTATAATAATAGAATTCTTATTATTGTTTTAAGCCCCTAAATTTTGGGGTAATTTACTAAGCAGCAACAGACAACTAGCTCAAGCTGCCTGTTATGGGACCACAGCCGTCGCCTTGCTTCCTTAGCTCCCAGGTGAGTGTAGTCAAGATGGAGGCAGATGCCTTCTTGGGGGCCTGCTCTCTTGGCTGTAAGGGCCTTTTCTTTCCAGTGGCTTGTGGTGAGATGGTCTAACCTGGAGCTGGGGCCAGGGACTCCCTCTTCTGTCTGGTGAAATGGGTGTTGCAGCTGCAGCCAGGAGCATAGGGAGGCAGAGCTGGGACAGAGCCTGAGCTTGTCCCCTGGGTCTTCAGGTTCTTTCTTTGGTAGTGAGAGTTGAGGCTGGAGTCTCAGCTGTGCCCTCCCGTGGCCTTCACTTATGGTTAGCTACATGTGGGAAACAGATGTTGCCTATTCACATGAGGGGTCTAGGTTGCCTCCTGGAAAAAAGAATTCACCCCAAATAAGGAGAGAAAGAGGTCCTCAGCCTTGGTTGGTGCAAACCTCTGGTGCTGGAGAGCAGAGTGATGCGGTTTGTAGCACTGGCCCACCGTGCGGGTTGTCCTCTGCTCCTTGGTCCTTAGTCTAAGGAAAGGGAGAGGGGGTGTCAACACTACAACCCTGGATCCCTGCAAGACACTGGCTGCCCCACAGAGATGCCCCTGTGTACAGAGAGCATCCAGGGGCCATGCGTTTGAAAGACTGTTCCAAGTGAATGCAAGATTTTCTTTTTCTTTTTTTTTTCTGAGACACAGTCTCGCTCTGCCACCCAGGCTGGAATGCAGTGGTGCACGATCTCAGCTCACTGCAACCTCCGCCTCCCAGGTTCAAGCAATTCTCCCACCTTAGCCTCTTAAGTAGCTGGGATTACAGGCACATGCCACCACACCTGGCTAGTTTTTGTATTTTTTAGTAGAGATGGGGTTTCACCATGTTGGTCTGGCTGGTCTCAAACTTCTGACCTCAGGTGACCCGCCTGCCTTGGCCTTCCAAAGTGCTGGGATTACAAGCGTGAGCCACCGCACCCAGCCCATATTTTCGACTGGGGATACAGTTCTAGCTATTTTACTGATGTAGGCCAGAGCATCCTTTGCCGAAATTCAGAGCCTATTACTCCCAGGCTGGTGAGGCTGATGGCCTGAGAAGCTAGATTTATTCACTCATTCAGAGCACCTGTTTTGTCTTCCTGCTCTCTACAAGGCCTGGGTCAGCGGGAGGCAGAAAGGCCTCCTTTCCCTCGAGAGCCTCACTGACCAGTGAAGGAGACAGAAAATCCTAATGATGAGCAGTAAGTGTCATAATAAAGATAAGCCAAGCCAAAAGGCTTAGCCAAGCCTGGCAGCTTCCTGGAGGAGGTGATGTGTGAAGTTTGCACTAGTAGGAGGTGGCATCAACAGGCCCATGGGGTGAGTGTTGAAAGTTCAGAAAGCTGGGGATGGAGGGAGTTTGGAGCATTCTCTTTCTCCTTTTCATCTATCTCTGTCCACTTCCTCTTTCCCTTTCCCTGCTTCTCTTTTCCCAGCTTCCCCTCAGTTTGCCAGGCCCTCTCATTCCAATCTCTGTTCCCAGTTTTGGCCCACTGCTCACCAAAGCTAGGTCCCTAATAACTGTGGGTCCCTATATTTATAGATTCCAAAGGAAAAGGGAGATTTTCCACACTGCTGTCTTGTGTTTTTTTTTTTTGAGACAGAGTCTCGCTCTGTCGCCCAGGCTGGAGTGCAGTGGCATAGTCTCGGCTCACTGCAAGCTCTGCCTCCCGGGTTCACGCCATTCTCCTGCCTCAGCCTCCCAAGTAGCTGGGACTACAGGCGCCCGCCACCACGCCCAGCTAATTTTTTGTATTCTTAGTAGAGACGGGGTTTCACCATGTTAGCCAGGATGGTCTTGATCCCCTGACCTCGCGATCCACCTGCCTTGGCCTCCCAAAGTGCTGGGATTACAGGCGTGAGCCACCATGCCCGGCCTTCCACACTGCTGTCAAATCAGGAGAGCCCAGGCGAAGAGGCAAACTGGGCCTTTGCAGGCACAAATTCCTGACCTTTCTGGCGTAGCTACATCCATGTGGCACCCACAGTCCTGAGCTCTGGAGCTGTGTGGAAAGCACACATCATTTGCACATTTTGTTTAGTTTCAAAGCATTATTTTTTATTTCATTTTATTTATTTATTTGAGACAGAGTCTGGCTCTGTCACCTAGGGTGGAGTGCAATGGCACGATCTCGGTTCACTGCATCCTCTGCCTCCTGGGTTCAAGTGATTCTTCTATCTCAGCCTCCTGAGTAGCTGGGATTACAGGTGCACACCACCAAGCCCGCACTCATTTTTATATTTTTAGTAGAGGTGGGGTTTCACCATGTTGGCCAGGCTGGTCTCGAACTCGTGACCTCAGGTGATCTGCCTGCTTCGGCCTCCCAAAGTGCTGGGATTACAGGCATGAGCCACAGCACGTGGTGTATTTTTTATTTTTATTTCTTCATTTATTTAGAGACAGTGTCTCACTCTGTGCTCCAGGCTGGAGTACGGTAGTGCGATCATGGCTCACTGCACCTTCAAACTCCTGAGCTTAAGCAATTCTCCCACCTCAGCCTCCTGAGTAGCTGGGACTACAGGTGCATGCCACCATGCCTGGCTAATTAAAAAAAAAATTTTTTTTTGTAGAGACAATGTCTTGCTATGTTGCCCAGGCTGGTCTCGGAACTCCTGGGCTCAAGCAATCCTCCCATCTCAGCCTGTCAAAAAGCTGGGATTACAGGAATGAGCCACCATGCCCAGCCAGCATTATTTTTTTTCTGATTATAAAAGCTATATATCAGGCTGGGTGCGGTGGCTCACACCTGTAATCCCAGCACTTTGGGAAGCCAAGGGAGGCAGGTCACAAGGTCAGAAGTTCGAGATCAGCCTGTCCAACATGGTGAAACCCCATCTCTACTAAAAATACAAAAACTAGCCGGGTGTGGTGGTGTGTGCCTGTAATCCCAGCTACCCTGGAGGCTGAGGCAGGGGGATTACTTGAACCCAGGAGGCGGAGGTTGCAGTGAGCCTAGATCGCGCCACTGCACTCCAGCCTGGGTGACAGAGCAAGACTCCGTCTTGCGGGGGGGAGGGTGGAAAAAGGTATACATCCCACTGCTTTTTCTTTTCTTATATTATTACTATGCAAGCGACACACTGCAGAAAAATTAATATACACAGATAAGACAGGGAGGCAGTACAGCAGAGAGGATGGGAGCACAGAGTTCAGAGCTACATGGGGCACTGACTTAGCTTCCTTGTGTCTCAGTTTCCTCGCGTAAAAAGTAAGTATAAGCTGGTCATGGTGGCTCACGCCTATAATCTCAGCACTTTGGGAGGCCGAGATGGGAAGATCACTTGAGCCCAGGAGTTTGAGACCAGCCTGGGCAACATGGGGAGGCCCCCTCTTTAAAAAACAAAATAAAAAATAAAAAATTAGCCAAATGTGATGTTGCACACCTGTAGTCCCAGCTACTCAGGAGGCTGAGGTGGGAGGATCGCTTGAGCCGAGGAGGGCAAGGCTGCAGCGAGCTATGACTGCAACACTGAACTCCAACCTGGGTGACAGAAAGAGTCCCTGTCTCTGCCTGCCCCCGCCAAAAAGTAAGCATAATGAGAATTTTTTTTTTTTTTGAGATGGAGTCTTGCTCTGTTGCCCATGCTGGAGTACAGTGGCACGATCTCAGCTCACTGCAACCTCCACCTCCCAGGTTCAAGTGATTCTCATGCCTCAGCCTCCTGAACAGCTGGGACTACAGGTGTGCACCACCAAGCCCAGCTAATTTTTGTATTTTTAGTAGAGATGGGGTTTCACCATATTGGCCAGGCTGATCTCGAACTTCTGACCTCGTAATCCACCTGCCTCGGCCTCCCACAGTGCTGGGATTCCAGGCGTGAACCACCGCACCCAGCCAGCATAATGATCATCGCCAATTAACAGGCACTCAGCACATGGTATGTGCTCTGTTAGTGTTTGCTATTGTTATTACTGGCATGTAATGATAGAAAAAAGAAATAAAGGAAAAAAGTTTACCTATAGTTCTATGAGCCTGAGATAAGTACACTGTTAAGCCTTTGAGATATAGCCTTCCACACTTTCACTATATGAACATACTTTATAAATATGGCCAGTTCCACAATGTGGTCTAAAATATGATCATAACTCTAATTTTCCCAATTAATTGTTCATGCTTGTGTATGCCTTATTATTATTGTTATTATTTTAGACGGAGTCTCGCTCTGTCTCCCAGGCTGGCGTGCAATGTCGCAATCTTGCCCCATTGCAACCTCTACCTCCCAGGTTCAAGCAATTCTCCTGCTTCAGCCTCCGAAGTAGCTGGGACTACAGGCATGTGCCACCATGCCCGGCTAATTTTTGTATTTTTAGTAGAGGCGTGGTTTAGTAGAGGCTGGTCTCGAACTCCTGACCTCGTGTTTCACCCTCCTTGGCCTCCCAAAGTGCTGGGATTACAGGTGTGAGCCACCACGCCGGGCCTGTGTATGCCTTATTAAAAAGAAATCCAGGGCCAGGTGTGGTGGCTCACGCCTGTAATCCCAGCGTTTTGAGAGGTCGAGGCAGGTGGATCGCTTGAGCCCAGGAGATGGAGGCTGCAGTGAGCTGTGATGACTGCTACTGCACTCCAGCCTGGTTGATAGAGTGAGACCCTGTCTCAAAAAAACAAAAACCATTCAGGATCTTGAGACCACCCTGTATCACCCAGAAACTTTTGAGAGCCTACACCATGCGGGGCATAGGTCATGACTGCTATTTCCCATCATGACCACATGGTGTCGCCATTGAAACCTGGTTGTAACCAGTCCCCAGGACTTGGTGGTAACGATGCTTTTTGAAATCGTGCTAACCTCAGCGAGAAGGGTTCTAGGCTTGAGATGTCAAGCTTGCTGTTCTCAGGGTTCAGTGGCTGTATTTCCTGCACACTTTCCACCATCTAGGGTGACTCCTAGCTCCAGGAGGCCTGGGTTAGGACAGCTTCTGACATCTGCCACCTTCTAGATCTAGAACCTAAAATTTTCCCTTCCTCTTTGGGAATCCATACCAGGAGCTCGTTTCAGCCCTGCAAGCATCAAGGCTGAGAGGTGGTTAGCCATCTGCGAAGACATGGTCTGCTTATCCCGTGGCCACTTTCTTTTTTTTTTTTTTTTTCGAGACGAAGTCTTGCTCTTGTCTCCCCAGGCTGGAGTGCAGTGGCACAATCTCGGCTCACTGCAACCTCTGCCTCCTGGGTTCAAGCGATTCTCTTGCCTCAGCCTCCCGAGTAGCTGAGATTACTGGCGCCTGCCACCACGTCTGGCTAATTTTTGTATTTTTAGTAGAGACAGGGTTTCACCATGTTGGCCAGGCTGGTCTCAAACTCCTGACCTCAAGTGATCCGCCCGCCTCAGCCTCCTAAAGTGCTGGGATTATAGGCATGAGCCACTGCGCCCGGCTACCCTGTGGCCCCTTTCTTTCCCATTCTTCCTCAGAGACAGAGGCAGACTTCCCTGGCACCCACCTTCCCAGCTTCTCCTGCAGACGTGGCACCGACATGTGACTCAACCTGGCCAGTGGGCTGTGAGGGAGCACCAGCAGGGGAATTTCTAGGGCAGATTTTCCTCCCTAATAAATACACATGAACACATTTCAGGATGAATCTCCTACCTTCTTATATGTGAGACGACAAGCCTCAAGATGGAGACTGTGGTAGCCAGCCTGCAAGAAGATCTCGTGGCAGGGCGTGGTGGCTCAGGCTGGTAATCCCAGCACTTTGGGAGGCTGAAACGGGTGTATCACCTGAGGTCAGGTGTTCGAGACCAGCCTGGCCAACATGGAGAAACCCTGTCTCTACTAAAAATACAAAAATTAGCCGGGCGTGGTGGCAAGTGCCTGTAATCCCAGCTACTTCTGGGAGGCTGAGGCAGGAGAATTGCTTGAACCTGGGAGGCAGAGGTTGCAGTGAGCTGAGATTGCACCACTGCATTCCAGCTTGGGCGACAAGAGCAAAACGACATCTCAAAAACAAAGCAAAACAAAAAAAAAATTGGCTTGAATAAAATACATAAATCTTCTTTTTTTAAAAAAGATCTCCCGCAAGCTTTCCCTCCTGGTATTCATGCCCTTCCACATGGAGGGGCAGCAGAGAGTATGGGAACACAGAGCATAGACTGGCCTGTGTGGCCAATGGAATGCAGCTGAGTACAGACCTAGGAGTCCAGGTCAGGAAAGATGCAGGCCAGACGCAGTGGCTCACGCCTGTAATCCCAGCACTTTGAGAGGCCGAGGCAGCTGGATCACCTGAGGTCAGGAGTTCAAGACCAGCCTGGCCAACATGGTAAAACGCTGTCTCTACTAAAAATACAAAAACTAGCTGGGCGTCGTGGCATGCGCCTGTAATCCCAGTGACTCAGGAGGCTGAGGTGGGAGAATCGCTTGAACCCAAGAGATGGAGGTTGCAGCGAGTGGAGATTGTGCCAGTGCACTACGTCCTGGGTGACAGAGCAAGACTCTGTCTCAAAAAAAAAAAAAAAAAAAAAAAAGATGTTGCAGTTTCTGCCTTGGTCCCTAATGTATTGTTCCCCCTGCAGGAAACTAGCCACCATACCGTGAGGATGCTCAAGCAGTCCTGTGGAGGGACCCATCTAGACAGGAGCCAACAGGCAGCACCAACTTGCCTGCCACGTGAGTGAGGCCCCTTGGAAACAGAGCTCCCAGCCCCAGTTAAGACTTTAGGGGACTGCAGCCCTTCACGGCAACAAGAGACCCTGAGCCATAGTCCTGCATCTCAGCTGCTCCCAAATTCCTGACCACTGAAAAATGCAAGAGATAAATGACTACTGTTGTTTAAAGCCATGAGTTCTGGGGGGATTTGTTTTATAGCAATTAATTAAGTAATCAAAGGCCAACACTATAAAGATTTCAGGGGGGAAAGATGAAAAACACTGAGTTTTTTATGATGTCATGGAGCCACTGAGTTAATCAACCCTGAAACTGCCTACTTCTTGATTTGCAGTGCAAGAGAACGAATGAATGTCCTGGTTTGGCTGCTGTTACTTCTGCTGTTACTTGCGGACAAAAGCATCCTTATTGATTCATCACATAAAAGATGACTCCCTGGGGATTTCTGAAGAGTGATTCCTGGCCGGGCTCGGTGGCTCATGCCTATAATCCCAGCACTTTGGGAGGCCGAGGTGGGTGGATTACAAGGTCAGGAGATCTAGACCATCCTGGCTAACACAGTGAAACCCCGTCTCTACTAAAAATACAAAAAATTAGCTGGGTGTGGTGGCAGGTGCCTGTAGTCCCAGCTACTCAGGAGGCTGAGGCAGGAGAATGGCGTGAACCCGGGAGGTGGAGCTTGCAATGAGCCGAGACTGCACCACTGCACTCCAGCCTGGGTGACACAGGGAGACTCCATTTCAAAAAAAAAAAAAAGTGATTCCTGAGTGACTTCCTGTGACCTTCTTTTTTTTTTTTTTTTTGATTAAGGGTCTTGCTCTGTCACTGAGGCTGGAGTACAGTGATGCAATCACAGCTCGCTACAGCCTCAACCTCCTTGGCTCAAGCAATCCTGCAATCCTCCTGCCTCAACCTCCTGAGTAGCTGGGACTACAGGCACACCACCACCATGCCTGTCTAATTTTTTTTTTTTTTTTTGCAGCGATGGGGGCCTGTTGCCCAGGCTGGTCTCAAACTCCTGGGTTCAAACAATCCTCTCACCTTGGCCTCCCAAACTGTTGGAATTACAGGTGTGAACCACTGTGCCCAGCCTGTCACCTCCTATTCTGTGAGGCTGGACATTTCTTTTGTTAAAAAAAGGACATAAATTTAAACTCTGATGGGAGCCACTCTGGAAGGGTCTCCACTAAAAATCATCTCAAATGAGCTTTTTTTTTTTTTTTTTGAGATGGAGTTTTGCTCTTGTTGCCCAGGCTGGAGTGCAGTGGTGCGATCTTGGCTCACTGCAACCTCTGCCTACTGGGTTCAAGGGATTCTCCTGCCTCAGTCACCCAAGTAGCTGGGATTACAGGCACCACCACCATGCCCGGCTAATTTTTTTGTATTTTTAGTAGAGACGGGGTTTCACCATGTTGGCCAGGCTGGTCTCTATCTCCTGACCTCAGGTGATCTGCCCGCCCTGGCCTCCCAAAGTGCTGGGATTACAGGTGTGAGCCACCACGCCTGGCCCCCAATAAGCTTCTGTATCAGAATTCACGAGAAAAAGCAGCCAAATAAGCTATGACTGGCCAGTTCACAAGTTTGTCTTTGATGTGTTTTATTATTTTTATCTGAATGGAATTATCCTGGACATGGATTTTGTAGGCTCTTGTTTATTTTTCACCATCAAATTCTGAACGTCTTTCAGATCAACATAGACTAACATCATGTACAGGGCTGTCTGGTGCCCCATTGTAGGGAGGTACCATGATTTATTTATTAATTTAATTTTTTTTTTTTTGAGATGGAGTTTCGCTCTTGTTGCCCAGGCTGGAGTGCAATGGCAGGATCTCAGCTCACTGCAACCTCCGCCTCCAGGGTTCAAGCGATTCTCCTGCCTCAACCTCCCAAATAACTGGGATTACAGGCATGTGCCACCACGCCCGGCTAATTTTGTATTTTTAGTAGAGACGGGGTTTCTCTATGTTGGCCAGGATGGTCTCGAACTCCTGACTTCAGGTGATCCGCTTGCTTCGGCCTCCCAAGGTGCTGGGATTACAGGCATGAGCCACGGCGCCTGGCCTGGAGGTACCATAATTTATTTAACCAGCCTCTGAAGCTGGGAATCTAGAATGTTGTCACTGTTCTGATATTACAATAACCCCATTTACTTTTTTTTTAATTGTGGTAAAATAATATAGAATTTACAATTTAGCCTTTTTTTTTTTTTTGAAACAGAGTCTTGCTCTGTCGCCCTGACTGGGGTGCAGTGACGCGATCTCGGCTCACTGCAATCTCTGCCTGCCGAGTTCAAGCGATTCTCCTGCCTCAGCTTCCCAAGTAGCTGGGACTACAGGCATGTGCCACCACGCCCAACTAATTTTTGTATTTTGTATTTTTTTTGACAGAGTCTTGCTCTGTCACCCAGGCTGGAGTGCAGTGACATAATCTCAGCTTACTGCAAGCTGTGCCTCCCGGGTTCACGCCATTCTCCTGCCTCAGCCTCCCGAGTGGCTGGGACTACAGGCGCCTGCCACCATGCCTGGCTAATTTTGTTTTTGTATTTTTAGTAGAGACGGGGTTTCACCATGTCAGCCAGGATGGTCTCGATCTCCTGACCTCGTAATCCGCCCACCTCAGCCTCCCAAAGTGCTGGGATTACAGGCGTGAGCCACCGCGCCCGGCTAATTTTTGTATTTTTAGTAGACACGGGGCTTCACCATTTTGGTCAGGCCAGTCTTGAACTCCTGACCTCGGGTGATCCGCCTGCCTCAGCCTCCCAAAGTGCTGGGATTACAGGTGCGAGCCCCTGCGCCTGGCCTCAATTTAACCATTTTTAAGTGTAAAGCTCAGAGGTACTAAATGCACTCACGTTGTGCAACCATTACCACCCTCCATCTGTGAAACTTTTTCATCATCCCCAACTGAAACTCTGTGCCCATTAAGCAATGACCCCATTTCTCACTCGCCCCCATTCAGTCCCTCCTAACCTCTATTCTACTTTTGGTCTCTGTAAATTCACATATTCTAGTCCAGGCGCCGTGGCTCTCATCTGTAATCCCAGTACCTTGAAAGGCCTGAGGTGGGCAGATTGCTTGAGCTCACGAGTTTGAGACCAGCCTTGGCAACGTGGCAAAACCCTGTCTCTACAAAAAATGCAAAAAATTAGCCAGCATGGTGGCGTGTGCCTGTAGTCCCAGCTACTCGGGAGGCAGAGGTGGGAGGATGGATTGAACCTGGGAGAAGGAAATTGCAATGAGCTGAGATTGTGCCACTGTACTCCAGCCTGGGTGACAGAGCCAGACCTTGTCATTCATAAATAAATAAATAAATGAATGAATAAAATAAATAAATGGCCGGGCGCGGTGGCTCAGGCTTGTAATCCCAGCACTTTGGGAGGCCAAGGCAGGAAGATCACCTGAGGTCAGAAGTTCGAGACCAGCCTGGCCAACATGGCAAAATCCCATCTCTACTAAAAATGCAAAAATTAGCTGGGCGTGGGGGGCACGTGCCTGTAATCCCAGCTACTCGGGAGGCTGAGGCAGGAGAATCGCTTGAACCCAGGAGGTGGAGGTTGCAGTGAGCTGAGATCGTTCCACTACACTCCAGCCTGGGTGACAGAGTGAGACTCCGTCTCAAAAAGAAACAAATAAATAAAATAAAATTAAAATTAATAATTAATTAAAAAATTCACTTATTCTATAAATCTCATATAAGTAGAATCATACAATCAATATTTATCTTTTGCATCTGGGTAATTTCACTCAGCATGATGTCTTCTTTTTTTTTTTTTTTTTTTGGAGACAGGGTTTTGCTCTGTCGCCCGGTCTGGAGTGCAATGGCACGATCGTAGCTCACTGCAGCGTCGAACTCCTGGCCTCAAGCCATCCTCCCACCTCAGCCTCCCCAGTAGCTGGTTTTAGAGGTGTGAGCCACCGCACCTGGCCAGTTGGATATATTCTAATGCTGCTCTCCTGGCTAACACCTAGCCTCCCTGACTTGCCCAACTCCTGGGAGTTCTGGCCTCAAGAACCCCTCCCTAGTCCCTGACTGGCTCTGAAAACCACCACAGCGTCTCTTTCTTGTTGGGTAAAGGTGAGGGCTGGACCCTGGAAAGGTCCTGTTTGGGGCAGCAGCTGCTAGGTGGGGGCTGCCAAGGTCCCCACTGCTGTGTGGTTTGCATGAGTGTGTGTGAGTGGGGGTGTGGGTGCTCGTGTGCCCACCTTCTCCTCATGCACTCACACTTGTGGATGTAGCTCTGCCCACTACTCTTTGGCTCTGAGGGCAGGGGCTGAGAACAAAGTTTCATCTACATGTGCTGGGGAAAACCCCATTATATTTAACACTCACAATACTTCCTCCATACCAAGCATAGTTCTAGGCACTTTTCAAACATCATCGTATTCAAGCCACAACAGTCCCATGAGGTGTGTACTATTTTTATCCCCATTTTATTTGTTTTATATTTATTTATTTTCAAGACAAGAGTCTTACTCTGTCGCCCAGGTGGGAGTGCAGTGGTGCGATCACGGCTCACTGCAGTCTTGATCTCCTGGGCTCAGGTGATCCTGGGATTACAGGCATGCACCACCATCCTTGGCTAATTTTTGTATCTGTATTTGTATTAAAAATTTTTTTTTTTAGTAGAGACGGGGTTTCACCATGTTGGTCAGGCTGGTCTCGAACTTCTGACCTCAGGTGATCCACCCGCCTCAGCCTCCCAAAGTGCTGGGATTACAGGCGTGAGCCACCGCGCCCGGCCTTAATTTTTACATTTTTAGTAGAGACGGGGTTTCGCCGTGTTGCCCAGGCTGATCTCCAACTCTGAACTCAAGCGATCTGCCTGTCCTGGCCTCCCAAAGTAATGGGATGACATTCACGAGCCACTGTGCCTGGCCATCCCCATTTTGTAGGTGAGAAAATTGAGATGGAGAGAGGTTGAGTGATCTGCCTGAGATCCTATGGCCAGTGAGCAGTGAGTCTAGCTGCGGAGTACAGGTTCTGAAGCAGGATGCGAGACCGCCTGCACGTGCGCATGGATGATCTTGAACTTCCCCTTCATTCACCAACTGTAGACCCCATGTGGGTGGTCACCGAGACGGTATGCGGCTGAACCAGGCAGTGGATGCCAAGGACCTCGTCATCATCGTCACCACCACAATAACAATACTCTACACTCTGTTTGTCACATGACAAGCTCTATGTTGGAAACAGTATGTGTATCTATATTAGTTCATCCTCACAATTAACCCCTGAAACATCGTCATATTATTCTCTTTTTAAGACTTACTGAGTCTTGCTCTTGTTGCCGAGGCTGGAGTACCATGGCGCAATCTCGGCTCACTGCAACCTCTACCTCCTGGGTTCAAGTGATTCTCCTGCCTCAGCCTCCCGAGTAGCTGGGATTACAGGCATGCACCACCACGCCCGGCTAAGTTTTTATATTTTTAGTAGAGACGGGGTTTCACCATGTTGGCCAGACTGGTTTCAAACTCCTGACCTCAGGTGATCTGCCTGCCTTGGCCTCCCAAAGTGCTGGGATTACAGGCATGAGCCACAACGCCCAACCCATCTTATTATTCTCTATCACAAATGAGAACACTGGTTGGGCGCAGTGGCTCGTGCCTTAATCCCAGCACTTTGGGAGGCCGAAGCAGGCAGATCACCTGAAGTCAGGAGTTCGAGACCAGCCTAGTCAGTATGGCGAAAGCCTGTCTCTACTAAAAATACAAAAAATTATCCAGGCGTGGTGGCTCACGCCTGTAATCCCGGCACTTTGGGAGGGCGAGGCAGGCAGAACACCTGAACTCAGGAATTCGAGACCAGCCCAGTCAGCATGACGAAATCCTGTCTCTACTAAAAATACAAAAAATTATCCACGCATGGTGGCTCATGCCTGTAATCTCAGCGCTTTGGGAGGCCAAGGCAGGCGGATCACCTGAAGTCAAGAATTCTAGACCAGCCTGGTCAGCAAGGCGAAAGCCTGTCTCTACTAAAAATACAAAAAATTATCTGGGCATGGCAGTGTGTGCCAGTAGTCCGAGCTATTCGGGAGGCTGAGGCAGGAGAATGGCTTGAACCCAGGAGGCGGAGGTTGCAGTGAGCTGAGATTGCACAGTTGCTCTCCAGCCTGGGGCGACTCTGTCTCTAAACAAGAAAACAAATGAGAACTCGGAGGCTCAGAGAGGTTAGAGACTTGCCTGAGGCACACAACTAGAAAGTAGCAAAATTTGATTTTGAATCCAGGCCGGTCAGACTGTAAAGCTCCTACTTTTTTGTTTGTTTGCTTTAACTTTTTTTTAAAGAAATAGGATCTTGCTGTGTTGCCCAGGTTGTTCTCAAACTCCTGGGCTCAAGCAATCCTCTTACTTCAGCCTCTCAAGTAGCTGAAACTATAGGCACGAGCCATCAAGCCCGGCTTCTTTAATGTTTTTTAAAAATTGAGGTAATTACATTACTTAAAATTGTAACCATTTTAAAGGATATAATTCAGTGGCATTGAGTGGATTCAGAGTGTTGTGACACCATCTCCTCTATCTAGTTTTGAAACATTTTCATCACTCTCCAAGGGGACTGTCTTCCCATTAAGCATTTTCCTCTCCTCTTAGCCTCTAGGAACCATTTACTTTCTGTTTCTGTGACTATACCTGTGCAGGATATTTTCTATAAATGGAATCATACAATATGTGGCCTTTTGTGTCTGGTGTCTTTCACTTAGCATAATGTTTTCTTTTTTTTTTTTTCCGAGACGGAGTCTCACTCTGTCGCCCAGGCTGGAGTGCAGTGGCACAATCTCGGCTCACTGCAACCTCCACCTCCTAGGTTCAAGCCATTGTCCTGCCTCAGCCTTCTGAGTAGCTGGGATTACAAGTGCGGTGCCACCACACCCGGATTATTTTTGTATTTTTAGTAGAGATGGAGTCTCACCTTGTTGATCAGCCTGGTCTCAAACTCTTGACCTCAGGTGATCTGTCTGCCTCGGGCTCCCAAAGTGCTGGGATTACAGGCGTGAGCCACTGTGACCAGCCAGCATAATGTTTTTAAGGTCTATCCGTGTTGTAGCATGAATCAGTACTTCCTTCCTCTTTATGACTGGATACTATTCCATTGTATGATTATGCCACATTTTCTTGACCCATTTATCAGATGGGCGTTTAAGCTGTTTCCACCTTTTGGCTGTTATGAACAGTGCTGCCATGAACATTTATGTACAAGTATTTGTTTGAGTCTTTGTTTTCTTTTCTTTTCTTTTTTTTTTTTCTTTTTTTGAGACAGAGTGACAAAGTTGCTCTGTTGCCCCAGCTAGAGTACAGTGGTCCCATCTTGGCTCATTGCAACCTCTCCCTCCAGGGTTCAAACAATTGTCATGCCTCAGCCTCCCGAGTAGCTGGGACTACAGGTGTGTGCCACTATGCCCAGCTAAATTTTTTGGATTTTTTAGTAAAGACGGGGTTTCACCATGTTGGTCAGGTTGATTTCAAACTCTTTTTTTTTTTTTTTTGAGATGGAATCTCACCCTGTCGCCCAGGCTGGAGTGCAGTGGCGTGATCTTGGCTCACTGTAAGCTCCGCCTCCTGGGTTCATGCCATTCTCATGCCTCAGCCTCCTGAGCAGCTGGGACTACAGGCGCCCGCCACCATGCGCAGCTAACTTTTTGTATTTTTAATAGAGGTAGGGTTTCACCGTGTTAGCCAGGATGGTCTCGATCTCCTGACCTTGTGATCTACCTGCCTCAGCCTCCCAAAGTGCTGGGATTACAGGTGTGAGCCACCGCGCCCAGCCTTGAACTCTTGACCTCAAGCGATCCGTCTGCCTTGGCCTCCCAAAGTGCTGAGATTAGAGGCTCAAAATA